>NC_000004.12:157709259-158012290 GCF_000001405.40 Homo sapiens
GTCATGAACAGGGAGGGATATGGTGGAAATAATTACTAACATTTAGAATACTGTTTCTATAAGCAAAATAGTATTTTCAGCACTGCAGATGTTCAATACTTCAATATTACAAGAGGTAGTTTCTATCATCATCCACACATTAAGAATAAGGTATTCAGTCACAGTGGGGCTAAGTGCTCTGCTCCAGGTAACATAGATGGTAAGGGACAGAGAACAATTCAAATCCATAAATTCAGGCTGCAGAATTTGTGACCTTAAGATTTACACTAAGCATATTGTAAACTCTAAATGACAAGACTTTTGTATGTTGGATGCCCTAAGTATTTATTATTTCTTTAAAGATTGTATCTAGGTGTATAAAAATATTTTCAGGCCAAAACATTTAGGTTATATAATGTGTTGTTACTTATATTTAAGGCCAGGCCTGGAGGTATCAGTCCCACCAATAGGTCATTTTCATAATGACTCCACGATTTTAAAGATCATTTTTATTCCATACGGTTGATTTGTCATTGTATCTATGTATGGATATACTTATCACATGCCTGATTCTTAAAAGTCTAACTATAGCCAAGATTTAACTAAATAAATTAATACAGCAGAGAAAAATTAAAATATTTAATTATAAAATATTTTTATGTTAATAGTTAATATATATGCCATAATATCCTATCTACTTGTCAGAAAAGGGTCTATAAATTACGTTCTGTATCAGGCCATTCTTGTATTGCTATAAAGAAATACCTGAGACTGAGTAATTGATACAGAAAAAAGGTTTAATTGGCTCATGATTCTGCAGGCTGTCCAAGCATGGCTCCGACATCATTTGACTTCTGGGAGGGTCACAGGAAGCTTTTACTCATGGCAGACAGGAGGCAAAGCTGGAACAGGCACTTTACATGCAAAAGCAGAAGTATGGGGAATTGGTGGGGGGATGGGGTGCCACACACTTTTAAAGGACAAGATCTCATGAGAACTCACTCACTATTGCAAGGATAGCACCAACCAATGAGGGATTTCCCCCCGTGACACAAACACATTCTACCAGCCCCACCTCCAGCATTGAGGATTACTTTTCAGCATGAGATTTGGGTAGGAACTAATGTCCAAATTATATCATGTTTTAATATGCATGACTGCCTATACAAAGAAAAGACAATTAGTAAACTTGTCAGAAGAATCTCAACCATTTCTATTATAGAGAAAATAAATAAAATTTTTATATGTATTCTTGTAAAGTAGTAACTATAGTCCAACTACTCAGGCAATAAAAGCATCACCACTTTTTTATTAAATAAACAATAGAATTGATAGGACTGTTGTTGTTTTATAATGTCTTTTGTTGTAAACTGACAACTGTATTCCAAAGCAGTATTAGATAAGAATAATTTCTATATAGTCCAGGCACACCATTCCATGATGGTCCAGATTAACATAAAGATGAAATATAAAGTGCTATATGAAACACAGTAAAATATATAATAGTACATATAAATACACACACACACACATACACACATATACACATAATGAAATAACCTATACCCTTTCTGTGTGAGAGGTACTCAGACATTTTCTATTTTCTTCTAATATAGTTTAATATTAAAAAGTTGGTCAGGAGTTACTAAATTAATTTCCTGACCCACAAATGGCTTCGACCTATGGATTGCATAATATGGATTTGAGTAAATTGGAATCTCACATTGCCTATTGCATTTCTTATAATAAAACTTGATAGATATTAGTTTTTTATTCCCAAAATGGTAGCTTGGGCATACATGTTACATTTTAATGAAATAGTCTTTCACAGTTTAGAAAAAGTAGAAATTCTTGGAAAAAGTTCTTACCTTATATAGGTGCAGAAAGCTGAGAAAAAAATCGCTGACATGATACATGTTTCAAACGGGCCAAGGGAACAAACATGAGTCTGACATCAGTCTAACTCAGAAATGGACAATGAAACCCCACAGCTTTAGGTCATTGAATATAGCCTCAAATATTTTATCCTGAAAATTTTAAATTTCCAAAAGAACCCTAATAACGACTAACTTTAAGCAGTGCGGTTTATTTGTAAATTCTAAAAAATAAGCTGAGTTGCAAAATATGCCATATGCTTGGGTTTGGAAATAGATCATTCAGAGTAGTGCAGACAAAATTATGTATTGCATTTTACAATGGGATCCATCTCAAAGAGATTGGCTTATGGTGTGCTGACTAACCTTGAAGTACTTTTTAGAGTTGGTACATGATAAGGAGACAACAAAACAAAAGCTTCTAAAATAAACAAGTGAATTAATAAGTAAATAAATTAATAGACAGACAGAAAAAGCCAATTTCATTAAGAAGATGAACTTTGGCATTTCACGGACCAAAGAGAGGACACTTACAAAATCTTCTGTGAAGATGTTATAAAGCCAATTTCTATATCTAGAAGTATAAAAACAAGTATATCTGCCTTAATTTCTGTCTCTAATAGGAAAATAAGGCTATATCTATACCTTTTTAGTATTCAAAAATTCATAATTATGGTAGATGTTGAAATTGGCAAACATATTTTTAACCTAATGAAATATTAACAACAGTAGATAAAATCTATACAAAATGTTTAAACTCTTTGAAATATTCAATATTGAAGCTTTTAAATCTAGGTGATTAATTTTATGGTTTTATTAATCTACCTTCATCTCAAACTACTGTCTCAACTATTTGAGCTACTTGAATCAACTAAGCTCTGTTCCATGGAACTGATACATTCTATCTTTGTGACTGTATTACTTCATCTTTTTTCATCACAGATCAATATCATGAGTAAATATTATTGACAATGTATACTATAAAAAGCTAGAAATAAGTGTTAATAAATAAATATATGTGGTTAATTAAAAGATTGTTAGAACATAATCTTTGGGATTAGAAACAGCATTTCTCGGTGCTAAAAACTAGGGCACTTCATCTTGAAAGTGGTAAGATTATATTATTTACAGGAAAGAACATTGTAACAAAGACGTTCCTTTTTTCCTGGTAGAATTGTAAAACTAAAGAAAGTTGTTTATCACTTTTTCATGCATAAATATCAACATGAATACTTGAAAATAAAATTTGTAAAAGCTGCATTTTAAATTATTATTTGCAATTCAAAATTCTCCTCAACATTTGATAGAAAAATTTAGATTGATATGTAAAATTACTTATTCCTGTGCTTACAACTTCTCATTTTTCATGCATTTTAAAAGTCTTACATTTCAGAAGAATATCTGTCAAAAAGAAATCTCTTTAAAATCTACCTGCTCAAAATAGAGTAGCCTAGCTTTTCTTTTCCTATTATTTATTTTTTTGATTGACAAATAAAATTGTATATATTTATGGTATACAACATGATATTTTGCTATATCTATACATTGTGGGATAAATCAACTGAGCAATTAACACGTGTTATCTCACATACACATTTTTTGTGGTAAGAACACTTAAAATCTATGAAATAGCCTCATTTTCTTTTGATTTTTGAAAATGCCTTGCTTTCATAACTCTTGAAGTTTAGAAGATTAGTATCTACCAGTTATTAGCAGACAGTCAAATACTAATTGTTTATTCTAATTAACGAATTTACTTTAATTATGATTTATTTTATAAGCCTCTGGACATATATATTTTCACTTGACACAGGGTTGGTTAGTTAATCCCTATCTAAAGATATGGATTAATCCAAACTGTATTTTCCTTCAAGATAAAAATTAGTTTTACATGTTATTGATTATTGTAAAGTTAATGGGTTTGTACTACACACATGTATTGACTACTAAACTGTGCAAATAATGCCAAAATAGTTGTCCCGAAAAATAAGGGCAATGTATATATATATATATATAAAATGAACATCCTTTTTTTTATCCATATGAGGAATTATCCTGTTCTGTCATTTACGTACTCATTAAGAAACTGTCTGTTTTTCTCACATTCATTTGCAAGATTTTCAGAAGACTAGTCTGTGAATAAAGTAAAAATCACTGCTCAAAATGAATTAGCACCATCTCTAAAAGAGTCAGATTTCACATAGGTGCCAAATGAAAGGTGTGATGACCCTCATAAACACCTTGTATGAGTTAATGAGAGTGAAGGTTCATTTTCATAATGACTTCATATTTGCATCTGTTGCATACCACCCAGGGCACACCATAATGTAGGCTGTGCATGGTACAGGTTGGCAAAAGCCAACTGTGACTCAGACAGGTTGTGATTCTCAGCACTCCAGTAATAAAAATGACCATGTCGACATTCTGTCTGGCCCAGAGCCTAAGTAGAAATCATCAAATTGGCTTACAACCACATGGCCTCTGAAGCACACCATCTGCCAGTCGTCTTTGTTGCTACTTCTTCCTCTTTGTAACTATGTAAACATTCATTTACCAGCGAATATACGCTCCCAGAAGGCCCACCCAGGACAAGGTGAAAAAGTAGCTTCCCCCACTCTTTTTTTCTTCTGTCACCAAGACCCTCTCTGCAAAAGAAATGAGATAGCATGGAATGAGTGTTACTATGTAGTACAGAAAAGGCAAACAATAAAACTATGAAGAGAAATAGTGTATCTTTGGAGGCTCTGCTCACCCAGGGAGTATAGATTGCAGCCTGCGAAATCCAATGGTTTTTTTTTTTTTTTTTTTTTTTTGAGACGGAGTCTCGCTTTGTCGCTCAGGCTGGAGTGTAGTGGCGCGATCTCGGCTCACTGCAAGCACCGCCTCGCGGATTCATGCCATTCTCCTGCCTCAGCCTCCCGAGTAGCTGGGACTACAGGCACCTGCCATCACGCCTGGCTAATTTTTTGTATTTTTAGTAGAGACAGAGTTTCACCGTGTTAGCCAGGATGGTCTTGATCTCCTGACCTCGTGATCCGCCCGCCTCGGCCTCCCAAAGTGCTGGGATTACAGGCATGAGCCACCGTGCCCGGCCAGTCATATTCTTTAAACATAACAGCAGACTCAAAGCATGACAATGAAGAGCAAAGCTCCATCTATTAGATAATGGTATACCAAACAATAATAACTATCTCTTTAAACATCATCAAAGCCCAAATTATCTCATTTCATACTGGGGACGTGGGCGGGGAAGGTATGCATGTAACTTTCTTTCCTTTATGTTTCCCAGTATAGGAGAAACTAGTGTGATTGTATTTAACAAAAGAAGAAAATTTAAGTTAATGACAATAAATAAACATATGATATGCATTCATGTATTCGTGTAAGGACTAAGCCATAGCATTTCAATATCTGCCTAATAATATAAAATACTTTTAGAATCAAATGCTAAACAAACACAATGTGCAATTTTGTCTTTGGCTGGACCTACTCTAATTTTTATTCCTAAAGACTATTTGATAATTGGTAAAATGAAGAAAATGAAAAAAAATAGCTTTCATCTCTGCTTAAGAGAAACTGATGTCAACTCAGCAAGTGTGAAAGTAATGACATGAGGGGGAA
Source organism: Homo sapiens (assembly GCF_000001405.40). Lineage (NCBI taxonomy): Eukaryota > Metazoa > Chordata > Mammalia > Primates > Hominidae > Homo > Homo sapiens. Next base: position 157,714,734 of record NC_000004.12, read on the forward strand.
GAATACGCAGAAGAGAAAAAAAAATGAAGCAAGGAGTGCATGGGAATAACAGTAGTCAATAAGCTCTGGTACATAACTTTTGAGGGCCTGCAATAAGGAGAAACCATTAGATAGATTGGCCACTCACAAGCTCTTTCCTAAAGGCGGAACAACTACACTTTCTTACCCAGACCTCATCCTATTATATGACTTCAATTCTTATTTCTGTACTGACAGTTTTCATATCTATAAGTGCATTTCTGTTATTCCATTCAAACTCTAGCCATTATTTCCAATTATCTTTCAGACTCTTGTATTCAGATATCTTCCTGCCATTTGAAACTCAACATTAACCACAGCATCTTTTCTTCTCCAAAGAATGAAGGCAGCCTCGGTGATTCATATTGCATATTTTCTTTGAAATCTCTTTCATCTGCTCTATCATTTTTATTTCTACTGCCATGAGTGCTGTACTCTACTTTTTTCAAGCATGAATTCCTGAAATATTCAATTTGATGGTCTCCCAAACTCTAAATTTTCTCTACCTTTATTCTGCTTCCTATTGCCAGACTCAATGAATTTAAATATGGCTCCCTCCTTTGCAGCCTTACAGAGAACTAATTTCCAACCATATTCAATGCATTATTTCTTTGCTTGGCTTCATTTAAGTTTTAGCTAATACTTATTAAGCACAGACACTGAGCCAAGTACTCAACGGGGATTGTCTCATTTGCTATGCAGAATAGGGTAGATATAGTATTGTTCTTATTTTAATAAGAAGAAAATTGAAGTTTACAGAGATTAACTAACTTGCCACTTGTCAGACATAGCTAGTGAGAGTAGAGTAGGAATATAACTCATATCAACCAAGCTTCAAAGCTGGTGCTCTGAATGACTCTGCTATATTCCTTGCACACCACTTACCTTCACTTCCTCCTAATGTCAACATTTTTCCTTTCATTTAGAATCAATTTATGTCTCTTTCTCTCCCTTGCTTCTCCTTCACCATCTCACCTCTTTTCTCTGCCCTCTATTTCTACACACACACACACACACACACACACACAAAAGGTCTCCTTATGCCATCTTCTTTACATAGAACACTTTTTTTTATCTTCAGGTTCTCCTCTTTCATAAGGGCTTCCATCAATACTTATCATTGCATATTTTCCTATACTTTCAAATCTTACAGTACCTACAGTTTATCATATAAATTGTTAACAGTTTGCCTTGCATTGTTCACTGTATTTTCTCATATTCTTATCTCCAAAACTCATTCAGGGCTCCTTAATGCAAGGAATTTGTATTTCTCTGTAATATATTTCATAAATGTACATTGTCATTATTTCTATTATTATACTTCTGTATATTCTGATCTCCACCAGTATACTCAGCATGTAATGGGTACTCTATAGATCTACGTTCATATATTAATTCCAAGGTGGAAACTAAAATATAGAGCTTTGGTTTTCTAATTCAGTTGAATAAAACTGCAACTCATAACCAACTCTAAGTCTTTAGAGCTAGAAAAGTGGTTTACTGTTAGGAAAGCTTTTTGTCCTCTACAATTTGAAGGTCAGAATACTCAAACCTGTTTGAAAGCAAAGAAAAAAAAGACAAAAAGATTTCTTATAAGTAACAATAAAACGATTCAAAATGCATATCCAGTGAAAAAATATTTAATATTGATATTCAGTAGATAAAGCCACTAGTATTCTCAGAGAAAATGTGAAGATGTGAGAAAAAAACAATAAATTATCCCAAGCTTCACCAGAAAACAAAAATACAAAGTACAAAGGTAATTCTTAGTGAGAAGGAAAGATATTTTAGTTTAGGCTAAAAAAGACCTTTGCAGTTGTCAGAAATGCAATGGAATGAAACTTTACCAACACTGGAGAATCACCCATCAGCAATGTAATGAGGTACATTCCTATTTGAGAGAGAGGATAAATTAATAAATTCTAACCTTATTTGTACACTTTTAATTCTTGAATCTAGATTGATAAGTTCTTTAGTGCCTGAAAATATTCAGTTGAAACCAGAGTAGATATTTTAAACCCTGGCTGCACATTAGATTCTCTCAGAAAGTTTTTTGGAAAATATTAGTGTTAAAGTAACAACTATAGACTGATTAAATCAGAACCTAAGGACAGGATCTGGATGATCATATTATTTTAAGTGCTTCCAAGGTGAATTTAGTGTGCATCTAGGACTAAGGACACTGCCATAAAGCATGGCTGTAAGTTTTAGAAGTTGGAAAGTAGTAATTGATCACATGGGTCATGGAAAACTTGTCAAACAGTTCTGATAAAAAATCTGACTTTGATCAGAGCTACATCACAATAATGACATAGATGAGTATAAATTAGATACAATAAATGGGTGTCTTAGTTCCTACTCTTCTATAAATACTCAGTGGGGCCATGGACAACCAAGTCACTTATTTATTATTTCTCAACCTCATGTACCAAATTTATTCTGATTTCCAACTATAATTTGGCCAATGGGAATGAGTTTTCCCTTAACCACGTTTACCGGTGCTAAATGTTTCAGATATGTACCATTTCTGTGTTATTAGTACAGAATCTGGTGAAATCAAATCCTCAGTCTTTGCTTGAGACACCAGATATTTTCAACTATAATGATAGCCAGAACCATAGACACACATTCCAAGATTACAATAATGCTACACTAGAAGACAGTATCAAAAAATACAGTCAGAAATAAAATTTATTATGAACAATTTCTACCTTTAAGCATATTTTCTTGGCAGTTCTAAGATTATTGTACTTAATATAATAAATTAAAATGAGGGTATGAGAATGCCAATTTGATAAAAGTAAAAATTTAAAAGTTTAAAAAGACAACTACTAAAATAATCTATTTTAAAAAGACACAAATATATTATTAGTAATACCATATGACCTCAGTGTATTAGTAAATTTTCACACTGCTATAAAGAACTTCCCTGAGACTAGGTAATTTATAAAGGAAAGAAGTTAATTGACTCACAGTTCTGCAGGGCTGAGGAGGCCTCAGGAACTTACAATCATGGGGGAAAGTGAAGGGGAAGCAGGCACCTTCTTCACATGATGGTAGGACAGAGAGAAAAGACCAGGGGAAACTGCCATTTATAAAACCATCAGATCTCGTGAGAACTTCTTTAGCATGGGGGAAAATGCCCCCATGATCCAATCACCTCCCACGAGGTCTCTCCCTCAACATGTGAGGATTACTGGGGTTACAACTTGAAAGGAGATTTGGTTGGGGATGCCAAACCATATCACTCAGCAATAAAAACTAAACAGAAAACACTTGAAATTCTTGCACAAATTTATAATATTTCTAGTGATAAGCTAAAGGGAAATGAATAAAGCTGTACAAAAACCTAAAACGAGAGACATAGACACTAGCTGCTGGGAATCCCTCAAATACAATGTTAGCCTTTCAATTATTATGCAATTATTGCAACTTGTTTAATTAACAACATATTTGAACTGACATGTGGGATATGTATAAAATATACCTCTCGGTGCTATTGAGAAAACTGTCATTTCCAAAGCAAGAGGAAAATCACTTAAATTGGACTAAATCCTTTGTTAATATTTAACATTCTATTTCCGAGGGAGCCCTAGTGAATATTCAGATGCTTTGATCATCTTCTTCTGCCCACGAATACACAACATAATTTTCTGTTTGAGATTTGCTTGTGGATATGTTGTTTTACAGGCTGTCAGTTATCCCCCTGACTGGAAGCTAGAAGTGTGGCTTCAAACTGAGTCTCTGGGAATGTGCAAGAAAATTGGACTCCATGCTCTGGTGTAAGACTTCCAGATGCTGTTCTAGAATTCTTCTGTTCTTTCTTATTTGAGTATGTCACTTTGAGCTTGCTTGGGTGATGACCACTCACTGATCTCACATTCTCTCATTTATGTGCTTTGGTTTAGTGATTTAAAAACATGTGTGGGAATTTCATTTAACTAATTAAATAAAATAGGCATTTAATTCATCATTCATTGATTGTACTTATGGGGAAGACCTTGAAAGGCACACAAATGATTCTAAAGGGGAAATCTGGCTTAATTATTTATGTTATATATTCTTTCATTCACTATACCAGGTGAGCTGTCTTATTTAACCAATAGCAACAGAGTGAATGAGTAGATTCACACCTAACCCTAGTAATTCTAACCAGTGAAGAAAATTGATTCAAACTGATGGGTTTTCTTTGATATTTGCTGAGAGTTTATGTTCTTTTTGATTGACTCACAGATTTTGACAACTGACAACAAATTCACAATAAAAGATATATCTTACTGTCCTGTCTTACCACTTGTTCCAGTATCTTTTTAGTGTCATTTGTAAAATATTCTGCAGATTGTCTGACTGACATCTTATTTTCTTCCTACCTTTGTAGGGCAAGCAAGGGCAAAAAGTAGTAATGTCTGCTTATTTTATAATAAGAAAAAACATTATCCATCTCTTTCACTGCACTAAGAATCTCGAAGCTATATGAAAAAGAAACAATTTGACCTATTTTCTATTACTAGCTTGGCAAAATATTTTGATAAAGTTTGCATTTTGACTAAGTATTAAGGGTAAATAGCAAAAATAATTGGAGGAAAATAATATCATCAAAAAATTATTCAGGAAAATTTAATTAACTGAAAGGTCAACTCTAGGTTGAACTGACCATCAAAGTGTCCAGCATAGTGAATAAAAATGATCCCAGGCTGAGGGAAATCATGTTAAATTTTAGAACATGGAAGGTTAGAAGAAGCTTTACTAAGTTTCATAAATTATTGGGAAAAAGCTCACACTCTTATCAAAAGGATCAACTCTCAAAATGGAAAAATGGCTTCAGGGTTCAGGCTTCCACAAAGCTAAAAGACAGCAGAATAAAGCCTTCAAAAGACTGAAGAAAATACTTTGGAGGCTGAGGCAGGGGTACCACATGAGCTTAGGAGTTCAGGGCTACAGTGAGCTATGATTGCACCACTGCACCCCAGCCTGCTGCTATGATTGCACCACTGCACTCCAGAGACTCTGTTTCTAAAAATAATAATAATAACAATAATGATACTAAAATTCAGAAGAAAAATAATTTCAGTCTTGAATTTCTTTGTCAGCAAAGCTACCAATAAAATGTAAGAGTAAAATAAAGATATTTTTAGACAAGCAAAGTCTCATAAGATTAACTTTCTCATGCTCCCACCTGAAAAAAGGGGTAACAAAGGATTTGATGTTAATGAGATTCAATAGCCGAAATCAAGAGGACATGGAAGCCGACTAAGCAGACCCTCCAGCATGTGAGAGCTGTGCTGAGAACGTCAGCATGGCATTAAAGAGAGAGTCTAGTACAACAAAAGCAAATTAGGAAGTGGAAGAATGAATGAAAATATGAAAAGATTGGGCACGTGTGATAAGCTAAGCTATGGAATGATCTAAATATGTAAGTATATAAAACAAACAAAAAATAACAATGATAAGAGCCATCCAAGCCCATATTTTAGTTAAAACCACTAAAATGATTTACAATAAAATCGTATGTATGAATGTGTATGGGGTGAGGAGTTTAAAAAGAGTATGTTCGTTGTTCAAATTAGACTTTCCGGGTATTTTATTTAGAGTTTTGAGATGTTAAGCAAGATATCAAATTTTTGCATCTTTATTATTGGCCGATGATCCTCATACAAAGCTAATCAATAAATACAAACAGAAGTTTGATTTATCTGCTCTGCTTCAGTCAAACATGCATTTTCCTTCATGTATACGTGCATCTTCTTTACCTCCCATCAACCCTTCATCCTACTCCAATTAGTCTTCTAAATCTATTGCTTTAATAAAATTGCTTTGGCTAAGAAAGTAAACTCACTGGTGCTATTTTTAATAGACACTTTTAAATCCCCATCTGACTTGATGCCTGAGAAACAGAGTGGTTGACAGTTTACAATGTATTATCTTAGTGAGAACATCTTCAGTCATTTTTAGTCTATGTGGAGTTAAATTGAGGGTCACCCCAGGTCTAGGGGGCAACAGGTAGCCCAAGCCTGATTAATTGAAGCATATATAACAATATCCTTAGCATCTGTAGTTAATTTGTAGGAGGTCACATGAACTAACTGAATTCCATTAGCATTAATGCTACTGATTTTGACTTAGTGACCATGAAGCAAGAAGTTCCTTTTCTACGGACTTCTGAAAAGAATTTGTCAACCTAGAGAATGGATCAAAATATAAAGGACAAATGCTTCAGTAAGATCTTCATTAACTTGGTTTCTGGCTTCTGTATCCTTCTGCACACCTATTTATTTCTCTGTGCACTGTTACAATGGAGGGTAGAACTGAAAGTCAGAAAAGGACCAACTGATATGTGTGTGTGTGTGTGTGTGTATGTGTGTGTGTTTTTCTGTCCCTAGATATCACCACACTTGAAGCTATAATACAAACATTTCCAAATAAATCCCCTATTTTCTTGAAGTTGTGTTTTGTCTGTTACAAATAAAAATTTTCCTAAATATAATCACTCACCACATTGGAGAGTTAACATAACTAAGTAGTTAAGGATGAGAGTTGTAAAGTCAGACTTCCAGTGTCTTTGGTAAAAGGACTAGCTTCTTGAAATTTCAATTATACCACATGTAAAATGGTGATAATAATGAAACCGACCTCACATAGTTTTGTAAGGACTGAGCAAGATGAAGCCTATAAAGTGATTAGTAAAGGGCCTGAAACTTGGTAAATAGTGCAGTTTAGTTTATATTGTTGATGTTATTGCAGCCATTATCATTATTATTATTTTCCATCCTGCTTAAGACATTCTCTTCATTTTCCCTTTGTTGCTCCACATTCACGTGGTTTTCCTTTGATGGCTTCTTCTCAGCTCTTATAGAGTTTATTCTAACTTATTTAAAAATGTATATTGATATTTCTCGGGGCTCAGTCTATCTTCCCATTTTATCTAACTCTGTACTCTTCCTAGGTTACCTCGTTTATCCTCATGATATTTAATACCGCCCATCCAGATATATGTGTACAAAGCCAAACCATTCTGCTGACTGCTGGATTCATGTATTTATCTCTACCATAAGGAATTTACACTTCCATATCTCACAGTGAACAGGAACTTCTTCATACAGCACATTTGTGATCTCCCTCATTCTTATCTGCTTCTCTTGTAAGGGTCTACATCTCAGCAAGTGGTAATACCATCTACACAGCTCCTTAGACCAAAAAACGCAAGAATCACTATTGACACTTTCCTTTTTTTTTACCCTAAATCCAATTAATTGCTGAGTGCTATCAATTCTTCTTTTATTTGTACATGTATTCAGTTCTCTGTATCTCTGCTATTGTCCATATCTCCACTGTCTTTTTATAACTGTACTTAATTCCTCCAATTTTGATCCTATATCGTCTATTTTCCATATAGACACTAGAATGGCCTTTCAAAAATAAAAATTAGGTATGTTACTCTTATGCTTCAAGCTGTCAATTTCTTCTCATTTTCCTTAGAATATAGATCCATATCTTTAATGTGATTTATACTGTGCTTCACCAGATTGGCAGTTTTCCACATTTTTATTGACCAAGTTCTTTTCCTGTCTCAGAGACTTTGGCAGGACACTTATTCCCTATGCCTGCATGTCTATTCCTGTCCTAGCCATATATCCATCCAGTCATATCCCAAGACTGACTCTATTGTTACAAAGTATTCTGTAACTTTCCATATCTATGATATTTATTGGGGCCCAATAAATGTTTTCAAATAGATGAATAGCACTTATGTAATGATACTTTGTTGCTTATTATGGCAAATATAAATTGGCAGAAAACACTACTGTGACTGATGACTACCACCCACTTCTACTTAGAGTCTGTGATGGTTAATTTAATGTGTCATTTTTACCAAGACAGTAGGTGTCTAGATATTTGGTCAAACAATCTTCTGAGTATTTCTGTGAGAATGTTTTTAGATAAAATTAACGTTTAAATTGGTAGACTCAAGAAAGCAGATAATGTGGGTGGGGCCATAAAATTAGTAGAAGGCCTGAATAGAACCAAAAGGTGAGCCTTCCTTAAGTAAGAGAGAATTCTTTCCTGCCTGAGTGCCTTCAGACTGGAACATGGACTTCTTGCCTGCCTTTGGACTCAAACTGAAATATCAGCTCCGATATGGTTTGGCTGTGCTTCCACCCAAATCTCCTCTTGAATTGGAGCTCTCATAATTTCTACTTTCATGGGAGTGACCTGGTGGGAGGTAATTAAATCATGGGGGCAGGTCTTTCCTGTGCTGTTCTCGTGTTAGTGAATAAGTCTCAAGAAATCTGAGGGTTTTATAAAGGGGAGCTCCCCTGTACACGTTCTCTTGCCTGCCATCATGTAAGATGTGACTTTGCTCCTCCTTTGCCTTACACCATGATTGTGAGGCCTCCCCAGCCATGCCAAACTGTCAGTCAATTAAACCTGTTTCCTTTGTAAATTACCTAGTCTCTGGTAGTATCTTTGCAGCAATGTGAGTATGAACTAATACAGTAAATTGGTACTGAGTAGTGGGGTGTTGTTGTAAAGATACCCAAAAACGTGGAAATGATTTTGTAACTGGCTAACAGGCAGTGGTTGAAATAGTTTGGAGGGCTCAGAAGACAGGAAGATGTGGGGAAGTCTGGAACTTCCTAGAGACTTGTTGAATGGCTTTGACCAAATGCTACTCATCTCAAATGGAGATAAGGAACTTGTTGGGAACTGGAATAAAGGTGACTCTTGTTATGTTTCAGCAAAGAGACTGGCAGCATTTTGCCCCTGCCCTACAGATCTGTGGAACTTTGAACTTGAGAGAGATACTTTAGGGTATCTGGTGGAAGAAATTTATAAGCAGCAAAGCATTCAAGAGGTGATTTGGGTGTTGTTAAAAGCATTCCATTTTATGTATTCACAAAGATATGGTTTGGAATTGGAACTTATGTTTAAAAGAGAAGCAGAGCATAAAAGTTTGAAAAATTTGCAGGCTGATAATGTGATAGAAAATAAAAAACCAACTTTCCAAGGAGAAATTCAAGCCAGCTGCAGATATTTGCATAAGTAATGAGGACCCAAATGTTAATCACCAAGCCAATGGGGAAAATGTCTCCAGGGCATGCAAGAGGTCTTCATGACAGCCCCCTCCATCACAAACCCAGAGGCATAGAAGAAAAAAATGGTTTTGTGGGCTGGGCCCAGGGCCTTGCTTCTTTGTGCAGTCTCAGGACTTGGTGCCCTGTGTCCCAGCCATGGCTAAAAGGGGCCAACATATAGCTCAGGCCATTGCTTCAGAGGATGCAAGCTCCAAGGCTTGGCAGCTTACATGTGGTGCTGGGCCTGTGGGTGCACAAAAGTCAAGAATTGAGGCATGGAAATTTCCACCTAGATTTCAGAGGATGTATGGAAATGCCTGGATGTCAAGGCAGCAGTGTGCTGAAAGGGTGGAGCCCTCATGGAGAACCTCTGATAGGGCAGTGCAGAAGGGAAACGTGGGTGCAGAGCCCCCACACAGAGTCCCCACTGGGGCACTGCGTAGTGGAGCTGTGAGAAGAGGGCCATTGTCCTCCAGACCCCACAATGATTGATCCACCGATAGTTTCCACTGTGCACCTGGAAAAGCCACAGACATACAATGCCAGCTCATGAAAGCCCAGCCAGGAGGTGGGCTCTACTCTGCAAAGCCACAGCGGCAGAGTGCCCAAGACTATGGGAACCTACCTCTTGCATCAGCATGACTTAGATGTGAGACATGGAGTCAAAGGAAATGATTTTGGAACTTTAAGGCCTAATGACTGCCCTATTGGATTTCAGACTTGCATAGGGCCTGTAGTCCTTTTGTTTTGGACAATTTCTCCCATTTGGAATTGCTATATTTACCCAATGCCTGTACTCCCATTGTATCTAGGAAGTAACTAACATGATTTTGATTTTACAGGCTCATAGGCAGAAGGGACTTGCCTTGCCTCAAATGAGACTTTGGATTTAGACCTTTGAGTTAATGCTGGAATGAGTTAAGGCTCTGGGGGACAGTTGGATGGGCAAGATTGTGTTTTGAATTGTGAGGACATGAGATTTGGGAGGGATCCAGGGTGAAATTATATGGTTTGGCTGTGTCCTCGCCCAAATCTCATCTTGATTTGTAGCACCCATAAGTCCCACATGTCATGGTGAAGAATTGGTGGGAGGTAATAGAATCATTGGGGCAAGTCTTTCTCATGCTGTTCTCATGATAGTGAATAAGTCTCATGACATCCGATGGTTTTATGAAAGGGAGGTATCCTGAACATGTTCTCTTGCCTGCCACCATGTAAGGCATGCTCCTCCTTCACCTTCCACCATGATTGTGAGGCCTCCTGAGCCATGTAGAACTATGAGTCAATTAAACCTCTTTCCTTTATAAATTATCCTGTCTTGGGTAGTATCTTTGCAGCAACGTGAGAATGGACTAATACAAGCTCTTCCTGGGCCCTGAGCCTACCAGCCTCCAAATAGGAACTACACCATCTACTCTCCTGATTTGTAGGGACCTTAAGACTCAGAGAAATTAAGCCATTCACTCTCCTTGGTCTCCAGCTTGCTGGCTCACTCTGTAGATCTTGGGACTTGTCCATCTTCATAGTCACATGAGCAAATTCCTTGTAATCTCCTCTCTCTCTCTCTCTCTCTCAGACACAGACACACACACACACACACACAGAGATATACATACACACATAGTTTAAGCATTCCAAGTCCAAAAATTTGAAATGCTTAAAAATCCAAAACTTTTTGAGTGCTTGAGTGCCATAAGTGGAAAACTCCACACTTGACCTCATATGACATATTGCAGTCAAAACACAGGTGAACAACACACAATTTATCCAACATCCCTAAGGGAAAAATACCCTTCCACTATCCCCTTCAGCTTCCATGTATCTTTTCTACATAGCTCAGACTTCCCCACAAAGGGTAATAAAGTAGTATGCACAGGCTGGGCACACCAACAGCAGATTCCCCAAAATACTTCACATAGGGCCAAGACATATATGCATTACTCACTGCATTCTTATTATTTTCTGCTCTGTAGCATTAAGATATTGTTGAAAATGTCAAAAAAAAAGCCTGCATATACACCTATGGGTAACCATGATAAGGAAAAGAGGACGCATTTATGTTTATCTATATCACAGAAAGTCAAACTACTGGAGAAACTGGACAGTAGTGTAAATGTGAAATGTCTTACAGAAGAGTAAGGTGTTGGAATGACCATCACATATGACCTGAAGAAACAGAAAGATGCACTGTTGAAGTTCTATACTGAAAGTGATTAATGGAAGTTAATAAAAAATAGAAAAACACTGCATAAAACTAAAGATAAAGATATAAATCCTGTATCGAAGGTGTGAATCTGTCAGCATAACAGAAAAGGCATGCCACTTAATGGTAGGATAATCATGAAATAAGCAAATATTTATGACAATGAACTGAAAATTGAAGGCAATCATGTATATTCAATAGGCTGGTTGCAGAGATTTAAGGAAAGGACCAGCTCTAAATTTTTAAAGATTTGTGGTGATAAACCATCTGCTGATCATAAAGCTGCAGAGAAATTCATTGATGACTTTGCCAAGGTTATTGCTGATAAAAAAAATCTGATATCAGGACAAGTCCATGATGCTAATTAAACATCATTTTTTGGCTAATTAAAAATCATTATTGCCCAGAAAGACACTGACTACAGCTGATGAGAAAGCCCCTACAGGAATTAAAGATGACAAGGACAGAATACCTGTACTGGGATGTACCAATATGGCAGGCATGCGTAAGTGCAAACTTGTTGTGATAGGCAAAAGCTTGGGTATTTTGTTTTTAAAAATCAAATTTCTAACCAATGTGTTCATATGCTAACAAATAGGCATGGATCACCAGGGACATCTTTTCTGATTGGTTTAATAAACATTTTGTGCAAGCAGTTTATGTTCACTTCAGGGAAGCTGGACCGGACGATGACTACAAAATTTTTATTCCTTGACAACTGCTCTGCTCATCCACAGCTAAAATTCTCGTAACAAAAAGTGTCTATGGGAGGTGGTGTACCAAGATGGCTAAATGGAAGCCTCCAGCGATCATCTTCCTGGCAGTAACACCAAATTGAACAACTATCCATACAAGGAAGCAACTTCACAAGAATCAAAAATAAAGTGAATAACCACGGCACCTGCTTTTAACATCATATTAAAGAAAGAAACACTGAAAATGGTAGTAAAGACAGTTTTGAATTGCCAACACCACCCTTCTCCCATTTCTGGAAGAGGTCATGTTGCATGCAGAGAGAATCTGTATGCTTAGGAGAGAGAGATCACAGTGATTGTGGAACTTCACATTGGAACTCAGTGCTGTCCTGTCAGAGCAGAAAGCAACAAAGGAAAGAATTCAGCTGGTGCCCACAGAGGAAGCATTTAGGCCAGAGAGGAATCACTCACCCAGTCAAAGAGGAATTGCCCATCATAGCAGTTGAAACCTAAGCTCCAGCAAGCCCTACCACCAGAGGCTAAAGTGCTCTAGAGTTCTAAGTAAACTTGAAAGGCAGTCTACTCCACAAGGCCTGCAATCCTGGGCAAGTCTTGGTGCTGTGCTGGGCTCACAGCCAGTGGATTTGGAATGCACATGACCTAATGAGTTACCAGCCAGCGTGGCCAAGGGAGCGCTTGCACCACCCCTTTCCTAAACCCCCTACAATGCAGCTCACATCTCCAGGAGAGACCCTTTCCTTCCCCTTGAAGCAAGGAGAGGGAAGAGAAAAGAGACCTTTTTCTTACAAACTGGATATCAGTTCAGCCACAGTAGAATAAGGCACCAGGCAGAATCCTGAGGCCCCTATTCCAGGCCCTATCCCCCAGCAACACTTCAAGACATACTCTTGGCCAGAGGGAACCTGCTTCCTTGAAGGTAAGGATCCAGTCCTGGAACGATTTATCACCTGCTGTCTAAAGAGCCCTGGGGACTTGAATAAACATCATTGGCACCCAGACACTTCTCACCATGAGCCTTGGGTGAGATCTAGAGCTGTGCTAGCTTCAGTTATGACCCAGCACATTCCCAGGTGTGGTGGCCATGGGAAGAGACTCCTGCTTGAGGAAAAGAGAGGGAAGAGTAAAGAGGGCTTTGTCTTGCATCTTGGGTACGAGCTCAACCACAGTGGTATAGAGCACCAAGTGGGCTCCTGGGATCCCTGATTTCAGGGCTTATACCCTGAATGGCCCTTCTAGACCCATTCTTGGCCAAAATGGAGCCCATTGCCTTGAAGAGAGAGACCCAGGCCTGATAGTATTCACCAGAAGTTGACTGACTGAAGAGCCTTTGGGCCTTGAGTGAACATTGGTGGCAGCTATGCAGTAATTACTACAGGCCATGGGAAGAGACTCATTCTGTATAAGGAAAATAGAGAGAAGAATGGGAATAACTTTATCTTGTAGCATGAGTGCCAGCTCAGCTGTGGTAGAATAGAGCAACAAGTAGATTCCTAAGGTTCCTGACTCCAGGCCCTACTCCCAGACAGCATTCTGGGACCTGCCGTGGGCCAGAGGGGAGCTTACCACCCTGAAAGATAGGACACAAGGCTGGCTGAATTCTCCACCTGCTGATTAAAGAGCCCCTGAGCATTGAGTGAACATTGGCAATAAACAGGTGGTGGTCACCACGGGCCTTGGGTGAGACCCAGAGCTGTGATGGCTTCGGGTCTGATGCAGCACAGTTCCAGTGGTGGTGGCCACAGGGGTGCTTGGCCCCCCCCTCCCCAGATGGGTACAAACAAGCACAAACTGTGAAGACTACAACAAACACTTAATTCTTCAATGGCCAGACACTGATGTACATCCACAAGTATCAGCACCATGGAGAAAAATATGATCTCACTAAATGAACGAAATAAAACAGTGACCAATCCAAGCATGACAGAGATATGTGATCTTTCAGACAGAAAATCTGAAATAGGTGTTTTGAGGAAGCTCAAGGAAATTCAATGTAACCCAGAAAAGGAGTCCAGAATCCTATCAGTTAAATTTAACAAAGAGATTGAAATAATGTTTAAAAACCAAGCAGAAATTCTGAGGCTAAAAATTCAATTGGCATACTAAAAATGCATTAGATTCTCTCAACAGCAGAATTGATCAAGCGGAAGAAAGAGTGAGTGAGCTTGAACTCTGGCTATTTAAAAATACACAGAGGAGACAAAAGTAAAAAGAATATTTAAAAAAATGAAGCACACCTACAAGAGGAATAAAATAGCCTCAAAAGGTCAAATTTAAGAGTTATTTGCCTTAAAGGAAGTAGGAAGAGAGATCAGGGTGGAAAGTTTATTCAAAGGGAACTTTCCAAACCTAAAGAAAGGTGTCAATATTTAAGCATAGGAGTCAAATGTAACTACAATTAGATTTAACCCAAAGACTACCTGAAGGCATTTAGCAATCCAACTCCCAAAGTTCATGGATAAAGAAAAGCTCCTAAAACAAACAACAAGGAAACAAATAGCAAATAACATAGAAAGGAGCTCCAATATTTCTGGCAGCAGACTTCTCAGTGGGAAACTGACAAGCCAGGAGAGAGTGGCGTGACATATTTAAAGTGCTGAAGGAAAAATATTTTCATTCTAGAATAGTTTATTCAGTGAGAACATTCTTTAAATGTGAAAGAAAATTAAATATTTCCCAGACAAACAAAAAATTGAGAGGTTTTATAAAAACCAGACCTTTTCTATAAAAAATGCTAAAGGGAATTCTTCAATCTGAAAAAAAAGGATGTTAGCAAGCAATAAGAAATCATCTGAAGGTACAAAACTCACTGGCAATAGTAAGTACACAAACACAGAATATTATAACGCTGCATTTGTGGTGGATAAACTAATCATATCTTGAGTAGAAAGACTAAAACATGAGTCTACCAAAAATAATAACTACAGCAACTTTTCAAGACACAGACTATATAATAAGATATAAATAGATACAACCGAATTTAAAAAGATAGGACACAAGCCTGGCTGAATTATCAACCTGCTGATTAAAGAACCCCTGGGCATTGAGTGAACATTGGCAATAAACAGGTGGTGGTCATATGGAGGATGACATAAGTGTATAGTTTTTATTACTGCTCTCTTTGCTTTTTTGTTAGTTTTTTGTTTGTTTTTGTAATCAATGTTAAGTGGTCATCAGTTCAAAATAATGGGTTATAAGATGTTAATTGCAAGCCTCGTGGTAACCACAAATCTGGTTGTTTAAAAGTGTGTAGCACCTCACCCTTCGTGCTCTCTGCATTCTGATCCAGTATGTGAGATGTGCCTGCTTCCCCTTTGCCTTCTACTATGATTATATGTTTCCTGAGGCTTTTCCAGCCACACTTTTTGTACAGCCTATGGAACTGTGAGTCAATTTTCTCAATAAATTATCTAGTCTTTATAAATTATCCAGTTTCAGATAGTTCTTTATAGCAATGCAAAAACAGACTAATACAATAGCCAAATCCATTCTGAGAAAAAAGAATAAAACTGAGGAAAGTACATTATATATAGATATATCTTTATATAATATAGATATATAGTTCTATATATATGGGAGTTTATTAAGTAGTATTAACTTACACGATCACAAGGTCCCACAATAGGCCATCTGCAAGCTGAGGAGCCAAAAAGCTCCTCGGATGGTGCCCACCCAGATTAAGGTTGAGTCTGGCTTTCCAAGCCCCCTGACTCAAATGTTAATCTCCTTTGGCAACACACTCACAGACACACCCAGGATCAATACTTTGCATCCTTCAATCCAATCAAGTTGTCACTCAGTATTAACTATCACAAATCCACCCCTTATCAATTTGAACCCATACACATCTCCTGAGATCATACATAATCTTCAAATAAAGACAATAATATGGTCATAATTATGCCTAACATAATACAACTATCATTCACACAACTGGAATGCACCAATCCCCAATCAAATTGCTAGTATATAAAGTTAACAATACTTAAATGCTGATATGAAGTCAATAAATCTTATGTCACATGATAAAGGAAAAGGGAAATAAAATGAAGATTTTCCTTAGCACAAGTGTACACATGGACAAATGTGTTTTTAACAACAGAAGGAAATACTCATGACAATTACAGTCCTTGTTTCTGCAACTGGTCATGTGGTAGTAGCTGGTATTAATGACTACCTTCTTCCACTACCCATTCTGTATTCCCTTTGACTTCAGCAAGCACCTCAGCAGGTCATTTTTTTTTTTCCTGGTGGAATGACCCAAACCTTTATTCCTGAAGGGTCTGGGTCATTTGTAGTTCTGCCTGGGTTGGGCTGTTTTAGCGTCCCATTGACCTTAATCACTGGGCATGTTAATACTAAGAGATGCCCTAATGGATCTCCTGTATTCAATGCATACTATTCCTTACCTCTGTGGTGGAGTAGTAAACTGATTTCGTCCTGATAGTCTGGGTCAATCACCCCAGTCAACACTGTAACTCCCCTCTTAGCATGTTGACTTAAAAGTAGGAGTAGCCCAAAGTGTCCAGGTGGCAATCTTAACTTGCAGTTTAATGCAATTGTTGTGTCTCCTGGCAGCAGCGTTCCTCCCTCTGGAACTAAGACCTCTAGGCCAGGAGAACATAATGTCACGGAAACAGGAAGCAAAAATTTTGCTAGTGGATCACTAGGGGTGATGGTGAGTGGTGCCACTTCCACTTCCACCCCTTGATTCCTGGACCCATGAATCCTGGGTATGGGAAAAACAGTACCACATGGTGGACGCTGATTCAGAGCATACACAGCCTTCTGGAGAACTCTGCCTCAGCCCTGCAAGGTATTGTCACCTGGTTGGCATTGTAATTGTGACTTCAAAGGGCCATTCCACCGTTCTATCAATACAGCTGCTTCAGGATGATGGGAAACATAGTAAGACCAGTGAATTCCACGAGCATGAGTCCACGCCATACTTCTTTATCCATAAAGTGAGTGCCTTGGTCAGATCCAATGCTGTGTGGAATAACATGATGGTGGATAAGTCATTTCGTGAGTCCATGATGGTAGTCTTGGCAGAAGCATTGTGTGCAGGAGAGGAAAATGCATATCCAGAGTAAGTGTTTATTCCAGTGAGGATAAACCTCTGCCCTTTCCATGATAAAATAGGTCCCATATAATCAACCTGCCACCAGGTAGCTGGCTCAACACCCTGAGGAATACTGCCGTATCAAGGGCTCAATGTTGGTCTCTGCTGTTGGCAAACTGGGTACTCAGCAGTGGCCATAGCCAGGTCAGCCTTGGTGAGTGGAAGTCCATGTTGCTGAGCCCGTGCATAACCTCCATCCCTGCCACCATGGCCACTTGTTTACGGGCCCATTGGGTGATGACAGGGTGGCTAGAGAAAGAGGCTGAGTGGTGTCCACAGAATGGGTCATCCTATCCACTTGATTATTAAAATCCTCTGCTGAGGTCACCCATGGGTGAGCACTCACATGGGATACAAACATCTTCACAGTTTTTGACCACTCAGAAAAGTCCATCCACACACCTCTTCCCCACATTTCTTTGTCACCAATTTTCCAATCATGCTTCTTCCATGTCCATGACCATCTAGCCAAACCATTCACTATGGCCCATGAATAAGTATATAATAGCACGTCTGGCCATTTCTCCTTCCACGCAAAGTGCACAACCAGGTGCATTACTGGAAGTTCTGCCCACTGGGAAGATTTCTCTTCACCACTGTCCTCCAGGGATGTTCTAGAAAGGGGCTGTAGTGCTACAGCTGTCCACTTTTGGGTGGTGCCTGCATATTTTGCAGAATCATCTGTGAACCAGGCTCTAGTCTTCTCTTCCTTTGTCAACTGATCATAGGGGATTCTTCATGAGGCCATTGGTGTGGGCTGAAGGAGAGAAGGCAGGGTGGCAGGAGTGGCAGGAGTGGAGACCGTGGTCATTTGAGCCACTTCCTCAAGTAATTTACCTGTGCCTTACGTACTTCAGGACCTGCTCGACCCTGATCACATATATACCACTTCCATTTGATGTTGGAATGCTGCTGTCCAAAATCCACTTTATGGCTAGATGGGTCAGAAAGCACCCAGTTCATGATAGGCAGATCAGGTCTCATGGTGACTTGATGACCCATAGTCAAACATTCAGTTTCCACCAAAGCCCAGTAACAGGCCAAGAGCTGTCTCTCAAAAGGAGAGTGGTTATCTGCAGAAGATGGCAGGACCTTGCTCCAAATCCTAAAGGCCTCCACTGTGATTCACCTATGGGGACCTGCCAAAGGCTCCAGACAGCATCCCTGTCTGCCACTGACACCTCAAGCACCATTTGATCTTCCGGGTCATATGGCCAAAGAGGCAGAGCAGCTTGCACAGGAGCCTGGACCCATTGCAGAGCCTTCTCCTGTTCTGGACTGTACTCAAAACTGGCAGCCTTTCAGGTCACTCAATAAATGAGCCAGAGTAACATACCCAAATGAGGAATGTGTTGCCTCCAAAATCCAAATAGATCCACTAGGTGTTATGCCTCTTTCTTGGTTTTAGAAGGGGCCAAATGCAGCAACCTGTGCTTTACTTTATCACTTATCCTTGGTGTGGAGCCTGTCAAGATAGAAGGACTATCTCGACAGTCCCCATACCACTGGACCCCTAGAAATTTTACTGAGGTAGAAAGTCCCTGAACTTTAGTCAGATTTATTTCCCATCCTCTGGCTCACAGATGTCTCACCAATAAGTCCAGTATGTTTGCTACTTCTTGCTCACTGCATCCAATCAATGTAATTTCATCAGTGTAATGGACCAGTGTGATATCTTGTGGAACCAAAAAGTGATCAAGCTCTCTCCAAATAAGATTATGACACAAAGCCAGAGAGTTGATATACCTCTGAGGTAGGAGAGTAATGGTATATTTCTGGCCTTTTCAGCTGAGGGCAAATTGCTTCTGGTGGGCCTTATGTATGGGAAACGAGAAAAAGGCATTTGACAAGTCAATGGCTGCATACGAGGTACCAGGAGATGTGTTAATTTGCTAAAGCAATGAAACCACATCTACAGCAGATGCAACTGGAGTCACCATTTGGTTAAGTTTATGATAATCCACTGTCATTCTCCAGGATCCATCTGTCTTCTGCACAGGCCAAATGGGAGAGTTGAACAGGGATGTGGTGGGAATCACCACCCCGCGTTTTTCAAGTCCTTCATGGTGGCAGGCAGTAATCTCCACAATCCCTCCAGGGATACAGTATTGTTTTTGATTTATTATTCTTCTAGGTAGAGGCAGCTCTAATGGCTTCCATTTGTCCTTTCCTGCCATAATAGCCCTCACCCTACCAGTCAGGGAGCCAATGTGGGGGTTCTGCCAGCTACTAAGTATGTCTCAGCCAATTATGCATTCTGGCACCGGGGAAATTACCACAGATGAGTCCAAGGTGATAAATACTTTGCATGGTTGGGGCAAAGTTCTCTAGAAAGCCACGTATGCTTTAAATCATCGTCCAATACATGGTGTTGTTTCTCCCGTAGGTAGGATTCACGGGTCCATGAGTCAAGGGGTAGAAGTTGAAATGGCACCACTCACCGCCACTTCCATTTCCACTCCAACATATTGAAAATATGTGATGGGCTTGTTGAAGTACTAAAGCTGTGTTCATTCATAACATAATAAGAAATGACTGCAGTTTATAAAATCAAAGAGAGACTTTTGAGACCAGAAAACTGCTATTAGTTAGGCAGATGACTCTGGAGGAAACATTTTAAAAAGCCACCTAGCAGAATGCCTAGTCATCCCTAGAGGATTCACTTCCTAGTCTCTCAGCTGCTTCTCATGTTTCTTCTCACCTAAAAAGTAAAATACAGTTTAGAGTAACCTTTTCATCAAAACACACCATAGTGGATGAAGACTAAAAGCTGGCCATGTTTGTTGTTCTGTTGTTTAACAGCTGATACAAGTATCTGGTGATGCTACTGCACTGCTTAGTTACGCTGAACACATTGTTTTTAACTTTATTAGAGGTATATATTTTTTACTGTTAAGTACTTAAGTGTAACAAAATAGTTATTGGTAACTTATAAACTCAGAGTCAGGAATAACAGTGATGCCAGACAATCACAGATTATCCACATGGGTGGCTGAGATAGTGGCACCTTTGCTTTCTGTTAGTTCAATGTACATAAACATTGTTTCTTACACAAAATTATTTAAAATACTGTGTAAAATTACCTTCAGTACATATGTATATATACATACGAATTACCTTCAGTAATGCATATATATTCATATAAAATTACCTTCAGTATATATGTATATATATATAATGCATAAAATAAGTTTTCTGTTTAGACTTGGGTCTCATTCTAAGATATTTGCATATACATATGATATCTCATGCATATGCAAATATTTCTAAATTTAAAAATTGAATCTAAAATTCAAAACACTTCTAGTCCTAAATTTAAATAAGGGATACTAACTAAACCTGTATGTACACACATACATATATATGTACCTGCAAACATATCTATTATCCTATTGGTTCTGTTTCTCTGAAGAACCCTGACCCATAAAGAGGTTGCATCATTCAAATAGAGCCAAAGTGATTCCTCAGTGATAGGGCATTACTTTAGAATTTGAATATTCTGATTTAACACAATCCAGCCCCAAAAATGCAGTTACAGGCTCTGCTGTACTCATCACAGTGCCTTGCATAATAAACATCACAATAAATGTAATTGAAATGCATATTTAAAAAATTTACTCTATTAATACATAATACTTTCTATGCATATTTAAGCAGAATTATATAGCCTATCCACTATTTAATAAATCATTTGCTCAAGCAACTGTTTATATGAGAAAAAAATTACATCCAAATAAAACATATATACAAGAATTGGATCCAGCTCAGTCACAGTTTAAAACAAAAAAGCACAATCTTAAAAAAATTATATAAAAAATGTTTAAATGTGTTTACGAGTCCACAGTTAGACTGCATTTTTAAGAAGACACAAATCATCTGAAAGGAAAAGATAAGAAAAATTAACCACACTGCAATTTAAAACATTTACACAGACAGGGTCTTCCATAATTCAGAGATAATAGAATGGCTGGTATCAAAATAACTTTCTTGTCAAAAACAATTATTCAAATGGTACAAAATAGAAGAAAATAGTCTGAAGGAAGTGGAAAATGTAGGAAGTAACTAAGGGGTTACTATTCTTGAAAGAAGAGAAGCACAGGAAGTGAAATTCACATAAGCCCTGTCATTTTCGTGAGGCCATTTCCAAGTTTTTCCTGCAGGAGTTGAGAACCCAAGAAGAAGGCTGTGGTCGTATTGTCAGGAAAAACCAAGGTCAGAGACCTGGGAAGACAAAAGTAGCTGAAAATAAGGGGCAAAGTCCTGAATGTAAGAGGACAATACAGAAAGAAGCACAAAAATCTGCTTACAAATACAACATAAGTTATTGCCTGGTTCCTAAGCTACCACATCAATGAAAAAGAAAAAGATGACAGTTACATGCAATGATGTGGATGAACCTCTCACAGACCGAATGTTAAGTGGAAGAAGCTAGATGTAGACTAGTATATATTGCATGATTTCAGCTATGTGAAATTCAAGAACAGAGGAATATAATATATGGTGGTAATCAATATATTGGTTACTTCTAGAGGTTGATGGAAGTACTGATGGAAAATAGGCACAAGTCAACTTTGTAAGGTACTGGAAATTTTCTATACCTTGGTCAAGTAGATGATCACATAGCTACGTATCTATATAAAAGAATATCATATTGAACACTTAAAACTAACCAATTTCTTAAAAATGATAAGAATAACAAAACAAAAAGTAAAAAGAAAATCTGCACAACAAAAAAAATACCTGTAGCAAAAATAGTGGATATGCTTGAAGAAGCTATTTACTTTGCATTTGAGCTAAGATAAAGGATGGTTATCCAGAATATATTTTTAAAAACTTATAAATTAATTCAGTGACGATAAGTACTACAATAGGAAATTTATTGAAAATCTTGTCAAAATGTCTAATGGACATGATATGATTCTCATTTCCAGTAGTAATTAAGGAAATGAAAATTAAAATATCAATGAGCTATTATTAGAGCATGAACATTGGCAAAATATCAATGTTTTATATTAACAAATATTAATGATAACGCAGTGATGGGGATTCTCATACACTCTTGATGGAAGTGTAAATGGTAGACTATTCTGGAAAGCATCTTGACAACATCTAATAATATTGTAGATGAAAAATATTCTACCAACCAAAAACTCTACTTGTACATCCACAACCAAGAGAAAGTCTCACACATATTTATACTAGTATTCAATGTTAACTGTGACATTTTAATTGAAAAACAGAAAAAGGACTACATGCTCATCAAGTTAAAAATGGATAGATCTTTTATTTCTTTAAATCCTCTAATCAAATACTATGCTACAATTTAAATGAATGAAATGGAATGGCATATATCAACATTACCTAGTCAAAGAACACACATAGATCAAAGTAAGTTGCCAAAAAGATAGGTAGTATAACAGCAGTCATTTAAAGCCTAAAAATCTCAGGTGGGTGCAGTGGCTTCTCCCTGTAATCCCAGCACTTTGGGAGGCTGAGGTAGGTGGATCAGTTGAGATCACAAGTTCAAGACCAGCCTGGCCAACATGGTGAAACCCCATCTCTACTAAAAATACAAAAATTAGCTGGGTGTGGTGGCGATTGCCTGTAATACCAGCTACTCAGTAGGCTGAGGTAGGAGAATCACTTCAACTCAGGAGATGTAGGTTGCAGTGAACCAAGATCATGCCACTGTGCTCCAGCCTGGGTGCCTGGTGACAGAGCGAGACCCTGTCTCAAAAATAAATAAATAAATAAATAAAATAATAAAATAAATAAAATAAAAAATAAAACCTAAAAATCTCAAAACAATTCTAGGTAGGGCTTATGAATATATACACATGAAATCTGAAATTAAGATTTAATAAAATATGATGTAGAATACATTAATTTATATGTTATTCTGTATGTTGAAATTGCTTATATTTTTAAGAAAAAGGTCTAAGAAAAAGGTATTTTTAAAAAACATTTTTAGCCAGGAAATCATGTCGTAAGTTGAAAAGTTGCAAGAATTGAAGCTTGATTAATGCATAATCTGAGGTCAAAAGAACTGTGTGTTTCGGATGGGTTTACTAATTTAAACATATGTTTCTTAGAAGAATGCCTTAATTTGTTATGAGTGGTTTAAAATTACTACAAAAAATATATTATCTGTATTAGTTGGTTCTCACACTGTTACAAAGAAATAGCTGAGACAGGGTAATTTGTAAATAAAAGCAGTTTGATTGGTTCACAGTTCCGCAAGCTGTACTGGAAACATGATGCTGGCATCAGCTCGGCTTCAGGCGAGGCCTCGGGAAACAAAAGCATGGTGGAAGGTGAGGGGAAACAGGCACATCTTACATGGCTGGTGTAGGAGGAAGAGAGAGAATGGAGAGGTGCCACACACTTTTCAACAACTAGATTTCTTGAGCACTCACTCACTATCACTAGAGCTGCACCTAGCAGGAAATCTGCCCCCATGATCCAATCACCTTTCACCACCCCCACCTCCAACATTAGGGATTACAGTTCAGCATGAGATTTGAGTGGAGACACAGATCCAAACCATATCATCATCCAAGAGCTTGTCATATAAGTTAAGACATCATTTACATTTTATTTCATACTAGGAATATTTAATGAAAACTCTTAAATATTTATGATTTTAAGAATGTATATAATATTCTTATGATATAACACAGTAGTATCTATATAACATAATTTCTTACTGGAGAAGTATAGTTTAATTTTAAAAAGACATCAACTAATTCTGACACCATAGTTACCTGTACTTCCAAAAAAAATTCCTAATTGACCAAAGAACAGGATCAAGCTTTAACCATAGGAAAATATATGAGCACTTAGAAAGTATCTAAATCAATCGATATTGAGCCCAAACCCAATGACAGGATGCCTTTAGGTCCAGTATATGTCAATGTTTGTATGTTCTATGTTTTCCATTTTATATGTATTTAAGCCCAATGGAGAACATTTCTCAATTCAAGAGAACATGTACATTTTTTAAACAAACAAAAACTTACAATACTTAATAAATATTTTATACTGCCCTTAACTTGGTGACCATGAATAAATTGTATATCTTTGCTATGAATATGCCTTTTATGTGACTTTCCTGAAACTTGGATTTATCTATGATAATAAAGAATTATTCATTTTATTTCTTGACTTGGAGTTAGGCTCTGTAAGCACAGTAAGTCTGGAAAAGAATAACCATGAAATAGGAAAGGAAGTTTTTGTACTATTCTCAGTAGGACCAATAATGCTCTTTCAAAGTTTTAAAAATAATAATTTTTCAAAAATTTCAGAAATAATAATAGGAATTTTATTTCACCTATATCAGAAATGATGCATGTGAAAATCATGTCACAGTTTTCATTGTCTGGTATCAAATTTGTTCATATTTTACTTATAGTCAAACACTATATTAATAAGAATATACTCAATGCAATACCAGAGAAAGTAATTCAATTACCAAAAATATTATAAACATATATTCATTTAAGCTACTTGGGAAGCTGAGGTGGGAGGATCGCTTAAAGCCCAGGAGGCTGAAGCTGTGGTGAGTCATGATCTTGCCACTGCTCTCCAGCCTGGGCAACAGAGCAAAGAGATCCTGTCTCAAAGAAAGATATATTTAAAAATACGTTACTCATCAGAAATTGTTTACCAGGCTAGTTTCCCTAGTAAATGACACAATTACTTCCCAAAGAGACTTGGTTTGGTTGTATTTATTTTCCTCTCCACAACTCATGTAATAGGAGTTCCTATAATTTTTTAATCTTCCAGTTCACAGCAATATTCTGATCAGCAGTAAAAGTAGCTTTTCTCATTTGACAATTTTCTAGAATAATATTAAAGAAATTTCTATCTTAATTGTATTTATTTAGCTTGTTTCTTTGTTTGCTTATTTTTCACTGAAGTATAGCAATAACATCAAATTGAGACATATTTAGACCAGGCAATTTTAGCCACTGAGATGAAACTAGGAACAGAAAATGAACGACAATAGCAATTCCCGCTTCTCAATTGGTAGGAAAAATTATTACCAGTTCTTGAGCAAAGCTAATTCGATACACCTGTGACTTAGTGACTTAATAGGCTAAATTTTGTTGAATTTTTGAGAAATACTGAAAAAGAATAAAAACATTTAAGTGAAAGTTTGAAGATAATACTTAGAAATTAATAATCTCACAATTTCTGATAATTTGTATATTTTGATAGCTGTGGTTTTGGTGAAGAATAAATTTGAGAAGATAAAATCAGTTGATATGTTATTTAGCAGAAAGTTAAAAATTTTTAGTATAAAACAAAAATAAGTGTGTGTGTGTGTATGTGTATATATATATATATTATTTTCATCTATGGTATCTACTTTATTGTTAATCCCATCAAATTGAGGCCCACATGCAAAATAGATTCAGTTTTACTCACTGAGCCCCTACTATACGCTAGACTCTATTACAGTGTCTGTGTACATGGCAATAAGAAAACTATACAAAGTCTCTACCCTCATAGAGATTACATTCTTTTAGAAGAGGTGGAAATCAAACATTTTGAAATATCCTACGCACACACAATAGCGAGATTTAATATCTGAAATCTGCTTCCCATTTCTTTTCAGGTATTAATGCATTAACAGGCATTTAATTCACCTTCCTACCCAAAATTTAGCCCACTCTAAACAACTGAGGGAAGTAAATATATGAAACATTATTTTTAAATATAGGATTACAGGCAGACCAGGGCAGTGATGAGCCTTATAATTGCCCATGCTTACTATCTGGACAGAGCTTCCAGTGAGGAAACTATACAAGGCCAGGCAAAGACCACCAGAAATGATACAAGAGTAATAAGCTCCAGAATTCATAAAGGACTGGGATTGGTTCCTGTTCACATGAGCCAGAGTGGAAAAGCCTCCTAACACATGGGGCATCAAATAGAGTCCTCAGAAAAGTATTACCTCAGTAGTGGGGCCAAATTAACCTTAGACTAAGATGTTACTCTGAATTTTGCTTAACAAAGCTTAAACTCAGCCTTAAAAAGATCATCAAGTTGTTTCTAAGTAACTTAACTGTGTTCCAGAAAAGAATTCAAACGTATAAAGAAATACAAAAATTCTAGCACTCAACAAAGCAAAATCGTCAATGTATATAGCATTCAATTAAAAATTGCAGGGAAGGTACAAAATAGAAAAAAAATAAGTTCTCTAATGAGATAAAAAAGCAGTCATTAAAAACAGTCTCAAGAATGACACATATAGATTTAGACACATGTAGGTTTAGAAGACAATGATGCTAAAAAAAAACTATCACCAATATATTACATATAATCAAGGAGGAAAAGGAAAAATATGCATTTTATAGAAAAACATGAAAGATATTTTTAAAGATGCAATTGAACACCTAGAGATGAAAAATGCAGTACCTGAGATAAAAATATTTAAGATGAGATTAACAATAAATTAGACACCAAAGATGAAAAGAATAGTCATTTTCAAATAGAAGCCTTTCTTGAAAACTCCCTTGCCTATGTGCACCTGTGAAATTTTCAATGATTCCTACATGAAAAGCCAAAACTCTCATTATGGCCTCAAAATCCTGCATGATACATGTCCCACCTATTTCCAAACCCCATCATGCATCATGGTCCCCTTATACTCAGCAAGCTTTAAGTGTGTTGCCCTTTTCTCAACTCCCTGAAGTTAAAGATGTATCAATTGCTATTGTTCCATCTTCCAAACATTCACCACCACTCCCAATTGCCTCTCATTTTCTTCTAGCTAATTTTAAAAAATATTTCCTCCAGCAGCATTTCCTCAGGGAAGCACTTCTTGACTCTACAGATTAGGCTATATCTCTCTACCATCTACTCTTAGAGCTCCTGTGTTTATTCCATTTTTGAATTTATGACTCAGTTGTAATTTCATATTTTTTTCTGTTATTGTATCATTAGGTGCTCATATTTTCCACTATTGTGTGAGTCATAAGGGTAGAAAATACGTCATATTTTCTTTGCCAGTGAATTCCCAGTATCTAGCACACTTCTTGACACATACTAAGTACAGTAGTCCCCCTTTATCTTTGGGGGAAACATTCCAAGACCCCAGTGGAGTTTTGAAACCACAGATAGAACTAACAATACAATTGCCAGCAATTAAAACACCATTCTGTTCATCTTTTCCACCCACAAATTTAATAGTCCTTTCCATCTTGACTAAGCACTGATTACACATTGCGGTTGTAACTTTTGCAGTTTGAGGTGTGACAACAAAATTAGTACAAATTTCTTTCTTTTTCTTCACAATTTCATGGATAGATTTTCTTCCTTACCATAAATCTTAGAAGCCTCAGCATACAATTTTTTTCTTTCCTTATGAAGTCAAGAACCTTGACATTTTCATTTAAAAAAGTATTTCGTGGCTTTTCTTTGACATATCCAAATTGCCAGCAGCACTAGTCTTGTATTTTAAGATCGTTAAGTAAAATAACGGTTACTGGAACACAAGCACTGTGATATCTTGAAGGCTAATCTGATAACCCATAACTACTGAATGACTAACATATGCAGCATGGATACATTGGACAAAGGCATGATGCACGTTGGTGGTGGGATGGAGCTGCATGATGTAAATTCACCATGACACTCAGAACAGCATACAGTTTAAAATTTGTAAAGTGTTTATTTCTTGAATTTTCTATGTAATTTTTTCAGACTACCAGGGTAGTCTAAAAACCATGGAAAATGAAACTGCAACTACTGAAAATGAAAAATGAAAATGGCAACTACTGTAGTCAATAATTTTTTAAAAAACAATATATGATTTTAAGTAATGATTTTTTTGTTCAGTTAAAATGTGAATGAAATCTCTTCTGCATTCAATGTGATTATGCAGGTACATACTTCTTCATTAGGATTTAGGCCCCAACTCGATTCATTTTCTGTATTTGAATTTGTTATTCCTATGAGGTAATGTCTCAGAAATATTAAATCACTTACCAAGACACACACAGTAAGCTCAAGTTAAAAGAGACTCACATTCTACTTAAAATCTTATTAAAGCATAATAAATGAAATACATTGGAATATAAAAGTATAGATATCCAAAATGCTAAAAGTCTTACATTTTATAAAATTTTGTTTATGGTCAGAGCTTAATTTAATATGGTGTAATAGTTAAATCTCATAAAATTAGCTAATAATATCTAGATCTAAAAGTAACTTGCTTCTCCTTATTGAATTATACAGTCCATGCTTGAAAAAGTAATTATGCATTCAAATTCCTACACATGTAAATAATTTCAGACTTAAGAGTAAAATTTAGTGAGGATGCTAGACAATATATACTACGTACTAAAATATGTATTCTTCTTCTACTCTTTTTGATTATCAGGAAGGTCTCTGTTACAAAAGGTTAACAAGAGAAAAGCATAAAAATTTAAAAGTTTTACATAACACAAGGGCCTTCATAAAACAACGAAGACCCAAAGAAATTGTTAAACCTGAGTGTTTTTATACTAGGTTTGATGAAGAGTGGAAAGTCCTGGAAAAATATGGTAGGACAAACAGGGCATGAGCTAAGAGTAAAAAACTGGGGAAAATTTAGCAATCCTTGCTCTTTTGGATTTGGATCTCTCTTGACATCCTTCCATCTTTAGAGACAGGATGCTCCTTTCCTCCAGGTATTGGGAGGGAATCTCTTACATGAGGGTCCTATGACCCACTTAAGGGGAGAAGGGAGAAAGAAGGAAAGTCAGAGACTCCTTTCTGCATCTGCCTTTTGTTTCTCAAATTCCTTCAGCTTAAAATCTTCAATATGCCAATGTGCCACATTTTGGAGTAGCATATCCTGAACCTCATCAAACAACTTCCACTGGAAAAGATCTAAGAAGACTTCACATTTCAAAACTTAAAATGTCACAAGAATTTCTAACAAAGGAGTGTCAGTAGACACAACAAAAGCCAGATTAACAACCTGATTAACAATCAGAAATATATTATACAGGCCGGGTACAGTGGCTCACACCTGTAATCCTGGCACTTTGGGAGGCTGAAGCAGAAGGATGGCTTGAAGTCAGGAGTTCAAGATCAGCCTCAGCAACATAGGGAAATCCTTTCTCCAAAAAAAATTTAAAAAACAAAAAATTAGCAAGCCACTGTGACACATACCTACTTGGGAAGCTGAGGCAGGAGAATTCCTTGAACCTAGGAGTTCAAATTTGTGGTGAGCTATGATTGCACCATTGCACTCCAGGCTATGTGACAGAGTTACAGAGTTAGACCTTCTCTCCAAAAAAAAAAAAAAAAAAAAAAAAAAAAAAAAAGAAAGAAAGAAAGAAAAGAAATTTATATAATGGTACATCTAAAATTATTCAAAGTTAAAAAAGGAAAGATTTACAGAAGAAACAATAAAATAAAATGTAAGAAAATACAACTTAGAATAATAAAATTTCTTAAACTAAAAAATATTTTCTCCCAATATGTAAGCTGCCTTTTCATTTTGTTGTTGTTGTTTCACTGTATTTACTTTGCTGTTAATTTGATGCAGTTCCACTTGTTTATTTTGCTTTCGTCGCCTAATTTTTTACTAAAATATACAAAAATATCATTGCCATGGCCAGTGTTAAGGAGATTTTCCCCTATGTTTCCTTCCAGCTTTATAATTTCAGGACTTACATCCAGGTCTTTAATCCATTTTGAGTTGAGTTTGTGATGTAGGGTAAAAGTCCAATTTCATTCTTTTGTCTGTGGAGATCCAGTTTTCTCAGTATCATTTATTGAAGATATTATTCTTTCTCCATTGTGTCTTCTTTGTGTCCTTGTTGAAAACTAGCTGATCATATATGCTTAGGTTTATTTCTGGTTTATCTATTCTGTCCCATTGCTCTATGTAACTGTTTTTATGCCAACATTATGTCATTTTGATTACTAAGTTTTGTAATAAAATTTGAGATCAGGAAGCCTAATGCCTCCCACTGCGCTTTTCTTTTTCAAGATTTCTTTGGCTATACAGAGTCACTTGTGGTTCTATGTGAGTTCTAGAATTGTTTTTCCTGTTCTGTGAAAAAATACCATGGTTTAATATCCAAAACATGTAAGGAAGTCACACTATTCAATAGCCAAAGGGAAAAAAATAGAAAACGAAAAATATCACCTAAAAAAAATGAGCAAATGACTTGAATAGGCACCTCTTCAAAGAAGACATAAAACTGGCTAACAGATAAAAATGTGCTCAATATCACTAATCATCAGGAAAATATAAGTCAAAGCTACAGTGAGATATAACCTCAAATCTGTTAGGGCAGCCATCATCAAAAAGCCAAGAGATAACAAATGTTGGCGAGGGTGTGAAGGAAAAGGCAACTTATACACCATTAGTGGGAATGTAAATTAGTACAGCCATTAGGAAAAACAGGATAAATGTTTATCAAAAAAATAAAACATGGAACTTCCATATGACCCAGCAATCTCTTTCTTGGGTATATACCCCCCTAAAATAAAGTTAGCACCAGAGTAAAGATATCAGCACTTTGACGTTCATTGCAGCATTATTCTCAATAACCAAGATGTGGAAACAATCTAAATGTCTGTCAAGGGATGAATGGCTATAGATAAAATTTTGCCTTAAAAAATGGAGATCCTTCTTTTTGTGAAAACAAGGATATACCATACTATGGTTTGAATGCCCCCCTCCAAAACTCATGTTGATATGTAATTGTTGTTATAATGGTATTGGCACATATAGCCTTTATTAATTGATTAGGTCATGAGGATTCCACTCCCATGAATGAATTAATGCTGTTATGATAACTGGTTTAGTTATCACAAATGTGATTCCTCACAAAAAGAACGAGTTTGGCCCAATTTTCTCTCTCTGTCTTGTGCACTCACTTGTTCTTCTGCCATAGGATAACACAGCATAGAGGTCCCCACCAGAAGCTGGCACCATGTTCTTGGAATTCCCAGCCTCCAGAACAATGAGCTAAATAAATGTCTATTCTTTATAAATTACTCAGTCTGTAGTATTCTGTTATAGCAGCAGAAAACAGACTAAGGCAAACCTGCAAGACATTATCCGAATTGATATAAGCCAGATACATAAAGAAAAATGCTGCATATTCTCACTTACATGTGGAATCTTAAAAAAAAAAAATGAACATATAGAAACATAGAATAGAATGGTGGTTACCAGGAGTGGGGAGGGTGGTAATGAGATGTCCAAAGAATACAAAGTTGTAGTTATGTAGGATGGATAAATCTAAAAATCTAATGTATAGCATGAGTACTATTGTTAATAATGTTATTTTGCATACTCGAAATTTGCTGAGATTAGATTTTTGGTGCCCTTACCACACACACACATACACACACATACACATACACAAAGGTAATTGTGAGGTGAAGGATATGTTAATTTGCTTGGCCACAGTAACTCTTTTAATATATATATAATATATATATTAAAATTTATATATTATATAAATTTTATATATAAATAAAATTAAATATATATATTAAAATATATATTTTTAATTATATATATATTATATATATAAACATGTTATATACCATACATAGATATATATAATAAAAATGAAATAAAACAATATAGTATTTAAAATGGATAAATATAAAATAGCATATGGTCTCATAGCACATTGCCAGAAAATATAGAATTAGTGAATTTCAAGGCAGAATTGAGTAAATTACGCAGCAGGTAGTACGTGAGATAAACAGGTAGATATATGAAAGTGAAATTTGGAAGCAGAACCAATATGAGTGCTATGGAATAAGAAATTTATAATGATTTGACCTTATACAACTGTGGGGTAAGTTAGATACGTAGAGTCAGATGACCAAAGGATAGTCATTAAGAAGGAAGAACAAAGGGGAGCTGGTGAAGAAGTGTATGAAAGGCTGTTGCCTTTGAGTCTGGTAGTAGCCTGATATTGCCATTTGTCAATAGATTATGTAGTTGATAAGAACAGCTGAACACAAACCAGGAGAAAGCAATGACAAATGGTACTCACAAGGATAACCTGGAACCCAGAAGAAAAAACTGGAATTCAAGATGAAAAGCTAGAACCCATGAAGGCAAACTCAAACTCACATTTTTCTCTGACTGCATTTGATCTTGATGATACAGGTAACATGAATAAGAAATCAGTGCCTTTCACAATGCGCTTAGCCCCATTAACAGAGGAGATCTGGGAAAAGCTACAAAAACAGAGCATGAGTACTGTATCACATCAAGGTGAAGCAACCAAAGTATCACCAACATGGAGATGCTTCAGTAGTGCCTAAGACTAGACACTAACCTGCTGCTTTACTTCTGCCTTCTAAATCTCATAAATTTCTTTCTTGCAGCCAATGCTAATATGAAACCATAGAGAAAAGTGAATTCTGGGAAAGGTAGTTCTAGCTTAGCTACTTTGACAAAGTACAAACCCACTGCAGCTCTCTACTTTACAAATTGACACTCATACATTACTCTTTAGAACACATTTGCAAATACATAATTATGCCTCCATCTGTGTAATAATTCCTCTTATAATTGAAAACAGCTAACTCTTACCCTAATATAGTACAAAGTCTCATATGTCACTTTATCTATCTTTGAATGATGTTCATTCCTCTCCTAGCTGAGACTCAATCTTTCTTTGATATCTTTTAAGGTAACCCTAATTAAATTATGTGTGCATGTGTTAATAATGCATATAAATACAATTAGCACATACACAAATATGTTATTTTATATTTTACATATATAACATACACATAATATCACATATATACAAATATGTATTTTATATTTTACATATATACATATATATTAAAATATATTATTTTCGAAAACAAAGACCTCATAACAAATGCAGTTCTTATTTTTGCAACTAAATACATGATAGTAGCAGATATTTAGAAATGTTCACTTTCTTAATGATTCCTTATTCCTTTTGCCCTTAGCAAGTATCTGAAGCTGGTTATGGTTCCTTCCCTGGTGGGGTGACCCAGTGACCCAAAACTTCATTCATGAAATGTCAAGGTCATTAACCAGCTTGGTTGTATGGGGCTGCTGTTGTTTGTTATCAATTTCTATCAGAGAAATATGAAGGTATTAAAGGTGTCCAGGACATTTTCTGACTTCCAAACCCATTTCCATATTCAGGTATGCTAGCAACATAATTTTTCTTGATAGTGAGGGTCAATCACCCCAGCCAGTATATTAAGCCTCTTTTTGTCCTGATGTCCATTGGTCAGATTGCAGATTCATTATCTTGCTGTGTCTTCTGGTGAAAAATATTTCTCTTTTGGAAACTAAGACTTCAAACTCAGCAAAGCACAAATGCACAAAAAAATGGGAGGCAAACACATAAGAAGAATCAATAGCATTTCTACCACTTGATTCTGAGACACATTTATGCTGGCTATAGGAGAAACAGCACTTTTATTCATCACTGATTTAAATTATAAAACACATCCAGAGAGATATAACCCTGACCCTGCAAAGTGTTGTCAATAACTTGGCGCATCTTCAAAGTGAATATTCCAAAGGCCATTCCACAGTTCTAATTGTTCAGGTACTTCAGACTGATGGAGAACATGGTAAAACCATTGAATTCATGATCATGATCTCATTACCTTAATTCCTTTGCTTATAAAATGAGTTCATTGGTCAGAAGCAACGCTATGTACAATACCAAGAATATGAATATGTCATTTACAGAATGACAAGCTCGTCAATTTCAGTAGAAACATTGAGAGCAGAAAAGACAAATTTATGTACAAAACAACTGATAATACAAGGATGCTCCTTCCACGATGAATGTGGTGCAGGGCAACCAGTCTGCCACAAAGTGATCTGATGGTTATTCTAGAGAATGGTGTCATGAGGGCCAGTGATGATCTCTGCTATTGATATATTTGTTGATATATGTGTCAATCAGCAGTTTTTATAGTCAAATTTGCCTTGGTGGGTGTAAATTCACTAGATTACGAGAACTCACACCAAAGTCAGAGAGTATAAGGATATATGTTTCCCATGTGAATATGCTCACCAAGGAGCAACCACAGAAGGAGAATCTTAATAATCATGTGGATAAGATGATCATTCTGGAATATCAAACAGTCCCTTTCCCAGTCACCCATGTCCTAACCAATGGGCTCATAAACAAAGTGGCAATGGATTACAGTGATGGAGACTATTCTGATATGAGGAGGTAAAGAGAGCATCTCATCTCAATGATATTTTGTCCCTGAATCCATAATGCCAGTATTATAATGAGAAAACATCAACATTGTAATTCATAGAGCATGAAAACATTTACAAATATACGCTTATATACTTTTGATATGTATAAAATATGCATACAAATAACAAAATTTAGGATACATTTTACCTATGGGGAGAATGAAAGTGAAATGGGAACAGAGAATACTGATGCTGTCTGTTGAATGTAGTGGAATACGAAGAAACTAATAATACATTAAGATTTTTAAAGTACTTTGTTTTACTTTAACTACTTGGAGTTGTCATAAAATAGAAATTTTCAATAAATTTTCAGTAAAATTTCAATAAAATATAAAAGGACAAATCCAAGAAGAAATCTGAACCAGTTTTGCCACTCATAGAAGAATACTTAGTTTTTTCTTGTAAATTTGTTTGAGTTCATTGTAGATTCCGGATATTAGCCCTTTGTTAGATGAGTAGATTGCAAAAATTTTCTCCCATTTTGTAGGTTGCCTGTTCACTCTGATGGTAGTTTCTTTTGCCATGCAGAAGCTCTTTAGTTTAATTAGGTCCCATTTGTCAATTTTGGCTTTTGTTGCCATTGCTTTTGGTGTTTAGACATGAAGTCCTTGCCCATGCCTATGTCCTGAATGGTATTGCCTAGGTTTTCTTCTAGGGTTTTTATGGTTTTAGGTCTAACATTTAAGCCTTTAATTCATCTTGAATTAATTTTTGTATAAGGTGTAAGGAAGGGATCCAGAAACAACCCCATCAACAAGTGGGCGAAGGATATGAACAGACTCTTCTCAAAAGAAGACATTTATGCAGCCAACAGACACATGAAAAAATGCTTATCATCACTGGCCATCAGAGAAATGCAAATCAAAACCACAATGAGATACCATCTCACACCAGTTAGAATGGCAATCATTAAAAAGTCAGGAAACAACAGGTGCTGGAGAGGATGTGGAGAAATAGGAACACTTTTACACTGTTGGTGGGACTGTAAACTAGTTCAATCATTGTGGAAGTCAGTGTGGCAATTCCTCAGGGATCTAGAACTAGAAATACAATTTGACCCAGCCATCCCATTACTGGGTATATACCCAAAGGATTATAAATCATGCTGCTATAAAGACACATGCACACGTATGTTTATTGCAGCACTATTCACAATAGCAAAGACTTGGAACCAAGCCAAATGTCCAACAATGATAGACTGGATTAAGAAAATGTGGCACATATACACCATGGAATACTATGCAGCCATAAAAAATGATGAGTTCTTGTCCTTTGTAGAGACCTGGATGAAGCTGGAAACCATCATTCTCAGCAAACTATCGCAAGGACAAAAAACCAAACGCTGCATGTTCTCACTCATAGGTGGGAATTGAAAAATGGGAACACATGGACACAGGAAGGGGAACATCACACACCGGGGCCTGTTGTGGTGTGGGGGTAGGGGGGAGGGATAGCATTAGGAGATATACCTAATGTTAAATGACGAATTAATGGGTGCAGCACACCAACATGGCACATGTATACATATGTAACTAACCTGCACGTTGTGCACATGTACCCTAAAACTTAAAGTATAATTTAAAAAAAAGAACACTAGCTTGACCTTTAGCAAAAAAAAAAAGAAGAAGAATATTTAGTAACTTTGCTTGATTTTAGTATTATTTAAACTTACATACTGAACTTGATATTTAGAAGAGAATTAAGATTATTTTGGCTAAGAAGCAAAATATTTTTCATTGAAGACCTATCTAAATTTGGGTTTTATCTTGATTCTAGCCATTCTCCTATAGATGAAAAACTGGTATCATTCTGATCCAAGGACATGATTGGTTTCTTATTTTTTTAAGTTTTATTTTGTTTTTGACACACAATAATTGTAAATATTTATGGGATACAGTGCAATGGCTCATTTTAAATAGATGCTGTGATGCTCTGTTTAGCTCAAACATAAGCTAAGCCTGGCATGGTGGCTCATGTCTGTAATCCCAGCACTCTGAGAGGCAGAGGCGGGCAAATGGCTTGACCCCAAGAGTTTGAGACCAGCCTGGGCAACATGGTGAGCTCTGTCGTCTGTGTGTGTGTGCGTATATATATATAACTTATATATATACATATATAACTATATATAACTAATTATATATGTAACTAATTATATATGTAACTAATTATATATATATATATATATATATATATATGAAATTCCAGAAAGTGAACTAAAAATATGGGAAAGGCTTTCTTGAACTCATGATAATGGGAATGAGGTTGTTCTTTAAGAACTGCAGCAGATATGATATAGAGGGATGATACTGATACTGATTATTATATGTGGAAATACTCTGTTTATTTCTTTTTAAATTTAATTAAACTATGCTTTCTTCATGGTAATTCCATGTAATTGACTATACATATACTTGAAAATGATGCCCTGTGTTTTCTGGCACCAACAGAAAATTATCAAGGGTTGAAGACTTAGCCAGGCCTAAATGCCCTGGGCTTATTTCTGAATCTCAGTAATGGTGTTTGCTCCTTAAGTAAGCATACTACATTGCTGACTCTTGCACAAAGCACAGATGGTCAGTGCAAAACAGGCACACTAAAAAATATTTGATTTCTTAGTTTCCTTTTCTTTCTCACTCTTGATGCATTTTTTTCTTTTTCTGCCAGCGATATTATCAAATATTTTCTTTAATTAATTCAATTTCATAGCATTTCCCCAGGTTACCCAGGTCATATATTTCAATCATGTCTTCAAAATTACTAAACTAGTTTTATTCAATTCAATTCACCATTTATAGTAACAATAAGAAGACATTTTAATAATAGCTGTGGTTATAAAAAATAAAACGTATTTTTGTGCTCAAGAAATTTATGACTCATTGGGGAGAATAATATAACTGTAAAACTATTTTTAATCAAATAACATTTTGTTAAGAGTATAGAAAATAAATATCCAATCATTTACACTTCCCAGAAATTTTATGATCTTTTATAATCTTAACATTCTTCTGAGGACCACATTTTTCCACCATATGACAACAATGAGAAATCGACCAGATGGACAGGAAATGGCAAGTACATTTTTCAAATACATTCGTGCTGAAGATAGGCTGGAAAATATGAAGATCCAGTAAAGTTATTAGTCCATGGCAAACCAGGACATCCTATGTTAGCTAAAGGACAAGTTATTGCACCTTGCTTGCTCTACCACTAATTCACTAAGTGGAATAGCATTTGGTACGCCTCTTTGTATTTTAGAGAGAATATATACCAGGCTAGGGAAAACTTCTCCAATCCATTATCAGGGGATTTGAAAGGTTGTCAATTTCAGGTAATGAATGGCTTGGCTGGTTAATCCGAGGTTGAAAAAGAGTGTAATAAAAAGATCAAAGTCTGGGAGAGAAGCATTTGAATGAACCTATGGAAGTAGAATTAAGTGTAAAAATTTATGTGTCTGAAATTAATCCCACCAAAGAGCATCCAAACAGGACAGGCTCAACAACCAGGTAGATGGGATGACATCCTCTGGTTATCAGTGAGTCTCTCCCCTCAACAATCTTATTACATACACAAGAGAAAGATTCATAAATGGAACGACCATGGTGGCAGAGATGGAGGTCCCACGTGGGGTAAACAACACAGTGGATTCAGTATAGATACTGCTGAATGCCACACATGCTAATAGCAGAGACTTACACTTAGCCCTTAGATGGCAGAAATCTCTCAGGCCAGTCATTTAGTTGCAAGTCGATTATACTGAGACTCTTCTATTTCTGTGCATTGTTGCTTTTATCAGATTTGGATGGTAATAATATCTATCTCGTGTAGTTGTCGTA
The DNA here is from genome assembly GCF_000001405.40 of Homo sapiens. Lineage (NCBI taxonomy): Eukaryota > Metazoa > Chordata > Mammalia > Primates > Hominidae > Homo > Homo sapiens. Next base: position 157,752,945 of record NC_000004.12, read on the forward strand.
AGAATTAAATGAATTAACAATTGAAGAAATACTTAGAACAGTGCCTGGCACATAATAAGCACTTTGTAAGTTATTAACAATTAAAGAGGGGATGGAGATAAAATTTTCAAAGATTAGGCAAGGATGGCCTCAGATATGAGGCAAAATTGCTACCGCCCCACCCCCAAATTTACAATCTATTTGAGATAACACAAAGGGCACAGAAAAAGTTGATTAGTGACTGTTTTGTGTAGGTTCAAATTCTAGGTCTACCACTTACTGTTTGGCCTTTGCCTAGACACTTCTCTAAATATCATCTTCCTCTCTGTAAATGTGGCAATGGCTCCCTTGCTTTTTTTGTTATAAGAATTAGAGATTATTGGTCGAGTGTGGTGGCTCACACCTGTAATCCCAGCACTTTGGGAGGCCAAGGCAGATGGATCACAAGGTCAGGAGATCGAGACAATCCTGGCCAACACGGTGAAACCCCGTCTCTACTAAAAATACAAAAATTAGCTGGGTGTGGTGGCACATGCATGTAATCCCAGCTACTTGGGAGGCTGAGGCAGGAGAATTGCTTGAACCCAGGAGTCAGAGGTTGCAATGAGCCGAGATCATGCCACTGCACTCCAGCCTGGCAACACCAGCCTGGTGACAAAGCAAGACTCCATCTTAAAAAAAAAAAAAGATTTAGAGATTATTTATATAGTCACCTACTATAAACCCAACTATTAAGCATTTCATAAATGGTAATTATCAGTATTATTTCAATTGTTTGAAACAGGACATGCATACTTGAAATATCAGGAGAACTAGGTAATATGTGACACATTACATAATATGAATAAGAAATAAAATTTTTCATAGCCATATGTAATTTCTTATTTATACCAGCTTCAACTCCCAAACTTTTACCATCTGCATGCCATCAGAACTAATTTTATTTTGCCTCTGCTTACATAATGAATTTCAGATAATAATCTTACATATGAGACCGCAGATCACCCAATGTGATGAACAACTGTCCACTAAGAATAATAATAGAATACCTTAAGTGAAAAAAATGAAGATGGTCATGAAAACAAAATCTGAGCAGTATTTAGTAATCACAATCAAAGCAAGGACTTGAAAAACAGTTTTTATTACCATTATAAGTAAATAGATGATAGATATTAAAGAGACAGATGTAGAAAGATGGATAGATAGATAGATAGGTAGATACATAAAGACAGGTAGCTACATTTCTCTCTTCTCAAGCTGTGTATAAAATGGAGAAAGGAAAGAAACAATAAATACAGAATCTTATGAATCCCAGTTCTAATGGCCCATTCCCTTAAGTCAGTAGAAAGGGAGGAACACACTTCTGACATTTTCCTTAAGCTACTGATGAGTATCCTGCATCCATCTTCCTCCTGTGCAAGAGCAGTTGATTCACCTGAATATCTCCTAACGAGCCTCTAGCTTTGAGCAACAATATTCTCAAGAACTATTGACTTACTCTTTTCTTATGTACCATTACTTCAAATATTCCATTAAATTTCTCTCCAAAGACCCCCCTCTTTTCTCAGAAGTCTAAGGCAATGTATTATTTTATTGTAAAAAATATTTTATGCTGAATATATATTCAGCATAAAATATATATTATTCACAAATATATATTTATTATTAAATAATTATTAAAATATATTTAATAATTTAATATTAAATAAAATATACTTCATAATTTAAATAATTATTAAAATACATATTAATAAAAATATAATATTCAGTATATGTATATCTTTTATGCCAAACATATACATATATAGTCAAAGTAGATATCTCTGCATCTAAGACATTGGTTAATAACGAGGGTGAAATCTGGATAACTAAAAACGAAAATCTTAGCATTTTTCTTTTTTTTTCTTTTTTTTTTTTTTACTTTAATTTCTGGGTTACATGTGCAGAATGTACAGTTTTGTTACATAGGTATACACGTGCCATGGTGGTTTGCTGCACCCATCTAGCTGTCACCTACATTAGGTATTTCTCCTAATGTTATCCCTCCCCTAGCTCTCCACCTCCCACAGGCCCTCCAGTGTGTGATGTTCCCCTCCCTGTGTCCATGTGTTCTCATTGTTCAGCTCCCACTTATGACTGAGAACATGTGGTGTTTGGTTTTCTGTCCTTGTGATAGTTTGCTGAAAATGATGGTTTCCAGCTTCATCCATGTCCCTGCAAAGGACATGAACTCATCCCGTTTTATGGCTGCATAGTATTCCATGGTGTATATGTGCCACATTTTCTTTAGCCAGTCTATCATTGATGGATATTTGGGTTGGTTCCAAGTCTTTGCTATTGTGAATAGTGCTGCAGTAAACATATGTGTGCATGTGTCTTTATCGTAGAATAATTTATAATCCTTTGGCTATATGCCTAGTAATGGGATTGCTGGGTCAAATGGTATTTCCAGTTCTAGATCCTTGAGGAATCACCGTACTGTCTTCCACAATGGTTGAACTAATTTATACTCCCACCAACAGTGTAAAAGCATTCCTATTTTTCCACAACCTCTCCAGCATCTGTCGTTTCCTGACTTTTTCATGATCACCCTTCTAACTGGCGTGAGATGGTATCTCATTGTGGTTTTGATTTGCATTTCTCTAATGACCAGTGATGATGAGCTTTTTTTAATATGGTTGTTGGCTGCATAAATGTCTTCTTTTGAGAAGTGTCCGTTCATATCGTTTGCCCATTTTTGATGGAGTTGTTAGCTTTTATCTTGTAAATTTAAGTTCTTTGTAGATTCTTGATATTAGCCCTTTATCAGATGGATAGATTGCAAAAATTTTCTCCCATTCTGTAGGTATTATTCACTCTGATGATAGTTTATTTTGCTGTGCAGAAGCTCTTCAGTTTAATTAGATCCCATTTGTCAATTTTGGCTTTTGTTGCCATTGCTTTTGATGTTTTAGACATGAAGTCTTTGCCCATGCTTATGTCCTGAATGGTATTGCCCAGGTTTTCTTCCAGGATTTTTATGGTCCTAGGGGTTACATTTACGTCTTTGATCCATCTTGAGTTGATTTCTGTATAAGGTGTAAGGAAGGGGAAGAGTTTCAGTTTTCTGCATACGGCTAGCCAGTTTTCCCAACACCATTTATTAAATAGGGAATCTTTCCCCATTGCTTGTGTGTGTCAGGTTTGTCAAAGATCAGATGGGGGTAGATTTGTGGTGTTATTTATGAGGCTTCCATTCTGTTCCATTGGTATATATATCTGTTTTTTTCCCAGTACCTTGCAGTTTTGGTTACTGTAGCTTTGTAGTAAAGTTTGAAGTCAGATAGTGTGATGCCTCCAGCTTTGCTCTTGCCCAGGATTGTCTTGGCTATGTGGGTTCTTTTTTGGTTCCACATGAAGTTTAAAGTAGTTTTTCCTAATTCTGTGAAGAAAGTCAATGGTAGCTTGATGGGGATAGCATTGAATCTATAAATTACTATGGGCAGTAAGGCTATTTTCACGATATTGATTCTTCCTATCCATGAGCATGGAATGTTTTCCCATTTGTTTGTGTCTTCGCTTATTTCCTTGAGCAGTGATTTGTAGTTCTCCTTGAAGAGGTCCTTCACATCCCTTGTAAGTTGGATTCCTAGGTACTTTATTCTCTTTGTAGCAATTATGAATGGGAGCTCACTCATGATTTGGCTCTCTGTTTGTCTGTTATTGGTGTACAGGAATGTTTGTGATTTTTGCACATTGATTTTGTATCCTGAGACTTTGCTGAGGTTGCTTATCAGCTTAAGGAGATTTTGGGCTGAGATGGTGGGGTTTTCTAAATATAAAATCATGTCATCTACAAACAGAGGCAATTTTACTTTCTCTCTTCCTACTTGAATACCATTTATTGCATTCTCTTGCCTGATTGCCCTTGCCAGAAGTTCCAATACTATGTTAAATAGGAGTGGTGAGAGAGGGCATCCTTGTCTTGTGCTGGTTTTCAAAGGGAATGCTGCCTGTTTTTGCCCATTCAGTATGACGTTGGCTGGGATTTTTCATAAATAGTTCTCATAATGTTAAGATGCGTTCCATCGATACCTAGTTTATTGAGAGTTTTTAGCATGAAAGGCTGTTGAATTTTGTCAAAGGCCTTTTCTGCATCCGTTGAGATAATCATGTGGTTTTTGTCGTTTCTGTTTATGTGATAGATTACATTTATTATTTGTGTATGTTAAAGCAGCCTTGCATCCCAGGGATGAAGCTGACTTGATCGGGGTGGATAAATGTTTTGATGTGCTGCTGGATTCAGTTTGCCAGTATTTTATTGAGGACGTTCACATCAATGTTCATCAGGGATATTGGCCTAAAATTCTCTCTTTTTTTGTTGTGTCTCTGCCAGGCTTTAGTATCAAGATGATGCTGGCCTCATAAAATGAGTTAGGGAGGATTCCCTCTTTTTCTATTGATCAGAAAAGTTTCAGAAGAAATGATACCAGCTCCTCTTTGTACCTCTGGTAGAATTCAGCTGTGAATCCATCTGGTCCTGGACTTTTTTTGGTTGGTAGGCTATTAATTATTGCCTCAATTTCAGAACCTGTTATTGGTCTATTCAGAGATTCAACTTCTTCCTGGTTTAGTCTTGGGAGGGTGTATGTATCCAGGAATTTATCCATTTCCTCTAGATTTTCTAGTTTATTTGCCTAGAGGTGTTTATAGTATTCTCTGATGGTAGTTTGTAATTCTGTGGGATCAGTGGTGATATCCTCTTTATCATTTTTTATTGTGTCTCTTTGATTCTTCTCTCTTTTCTTCATTATTAGCCATGCTAGTGGTCTATTTTGTTGATCTTTTCAAAAAACCAGCTCCTGGATTCATTGATTTTTTTGAAATTTTTTTTTTGTGTCTCTATCTCCTTCAGTTCTGCTCTGATCTTATTTATTTCTAGTCTTCAGGTATCTTTTGAATTTGTTTGCTCTTGCTTCTCTAGTTCTTTTAATTATGATGTTAGGGTGTCAATTTTAGATCTCTCCTGCTTTCTCTTGTGGGCATTTAGTGCTATAAATTTCCCTCTACACACTGTTTTAAATGTGTCCCAGAGATTCTGGTACATTGTGTCTTTGTTCCCATTGGTTTCAAAGAACATCTTTATTTCTGCCTTCATTAAATTATTTACTCAGTAGTCATTCAAAAGCAGGTTGTTCAGTTTCCACGTAGTTGTGCAGTTTTGAGTGAGATTCTCAATCCTGAATTCTAAATTGATTGCACTGTGGTCTGAGGGACAGTTTGTTGTGATTTCTGTTCTTTTACATTTGCTGAGGAGTGTTTTACTTCCAATTATGTGGTCAATTTTAGAATAAGTGCAATCTGGTGATAGAAGAATGTATATTCTGTTGATTTGGGGTGGAGAGTTCTGTAGATGTCTATTAGGTCCACTTAGTCCAGAGCTGAGTTCAAGTCCTGGATATCCTTGTTAATTTTCTGTCTCGTTGATCTGTCTAATATTGACAGTGGTGCATCAAAGTCTCCCATTATTATTGTGTGAGAGTCTAAGTCTCTTTGTAGGTCTCTAAGAACTTGCTTTATGAATCTCGGTGCTCCTGTATTGGGTGCATATATATTTAGGATAGTTAGCTCTTCTTGTTGAATTGATCCCTTTACCATTATGTAATGGCCTTCTGTGTCTCTTTTGATTTCTGTTGGCTTAAAGTCTGTTTTATCAGAGAACAGGATTGCAACCCCTGCTTTTTTTTGCTTTCCATTTTCTTGGTATATCTTCCTCCATCCCTTTATTTTGAGCCTATGTGTGTCTCTGCACATGAGATGGGTCTCCTGAATACAGCACACCAATGGGTCTTGACTCGATCCAACTTGCCAGTCTGTGTCTTTTACTTTGAGCATTTAGCCCATTTACATTTAAGGTTAATAGTGTTATGTGTGAATTTGATCCTGTCATTATGATGCTAGCTGGTTATTTTGCCTGTTAATTGTTGCAGTTTCTTCATAGCATCAATGGTCTTTCCAATTTGGCATGTTTTTGCAGTAGCTGGTACCGGTTGTTCCTTTCCATGTTTAGCGCTTCCTTCTGGAGCTCTTGTAAGGCAGGCCTGGTGGTGACAAAATCTCTCAGCAGTTGCTTGTCTGTAAAGGATTTTATTTCTCCTTCACTTATGAAGCTTTGTTTGGCTGGATATGAAATTCTGGGTTGAAAATTCTTTTCTTTAAGAATGTTGAATATTGGCCCCCACTCTCTTCTGGCTTGTAGGATTTCTGCCGAGAGATCCGCTGTTAGTCTGATGGGCTTCCCTTTGTGCGTAACTCAATCTTTCTCTCTGGCTGCCCTTAACATTTTTTCCTTCATTTCATCCTTGGTGAATCTGACAATTATGTGTCTTGAGTTTGCTCTTCTCGAGGAGTATCTTTGTGGTGTTCTCTGTATTTCCTGAATTTGAATGTTGGCTTGCTTTGCTAGGTTTGGGAAGTTCTCCTGGATAACACCCTAAAGAGTGTTTTCTAACTTGGTTCCATTCTCCCTGTCACTTTCAGGTATATCAATCAAACATAGATTTGGTCTTTTCACATAGTCTCATATTTCTTGGAGGCTTTGTTCTTTTCACTCTTTCTTCTCTAATATTGTCTTCTTGCTTTATTTCATTGATTTGATCTTCAATCACTGATATCCTTTCTTCTGCTTGATTGAATTGGCTATTGAAGCTTGTCTATGCTTCACGAAGTTCTCGTATTGTGGTTTTCAGCTCCATCAGGTCATTTAAGCTTTTCTCTACAATGGTTATTCTAGTTAGCCATTCATCTAACCTTTTTTTCAAGGTTTTTAGCTTCCTTGCAATGGGTTAGAACATGCTCCTTTGGCTCAGAGAAGTTTGTTATTACTGACTTTCTGAAGCCTACTTCTGTCAACTTGTCAAACTCATTCTCTGTCCAGTTTTGTTCCCTTGCTGGCGAGGAGTTGTATTCCTTTGGAGGAGAAGAGGCATTCTAGTTTTTGGAATTTTCAGCCTTTTTACTCTGGTTTCTCCCTATCTTTGTGGTTTTATCTACCTTTGGTCTTTGATGTTGGTGACCTACAGATGGAATTTTGGTATGGATGTCTTTTTTGTTGATGTTGATGCTATTCCTCTCTGTTTATTAGTTTTCCTTCTAACAAACAGGCCCCTCAGCTGCAGGTCTGTTGGAGTTTGCTGGAGGTCCACTCCAGACCCTGCTTACCTGGGTATCACCAGCAGAGGCTGCAGAACAGCACATATTGCTGCCTGATCCTTCCTCTGGAAGCTTCGTCCCAGGGGAGCACCCACCTGTATGAGGTGTCTGTCAGCCCTTACTGGGAGATGTCTCCCAGTCAGGCTACATGGGAGTCAGGGACCCACTTGAGGAGGCAGTCTGTCTGTTATTGGAGCTCGAATCCCATCCTGGGAGAACCACTGCTCTCTTCAGAGCTGTCAGGCAGGGATGTTTAAGTCTGGGGAAGCTGTCTGCTGCCTTTTGTTCAGATATGCCCTGCCCCCAGAGGTGGAATCTACAGAGGCAATAGGCCTTGCTGAGCTGTGGTGGGCTCCGCCAAGTTCGAGCTACCTGCTGCTTTGTTCAAACTGTGAGCATAGAACCACCTACTCAAACCTCAGCAATGGCAGACAGCCCTCCCCCAGCCAAGCTCCCATGTCCCAGGTCAATCTCAGACTGCTGCACTAGCAGCAAGCATGTCTCCATGGGTGTGGGACCCACTGAGCACTGAGCCATGCATGGGAGAGGACCTCCTGGTCTGCTGGTTGTGAAGACCGTGGGAAAAGCACAGGATTTGGGCAGGAGTGTACCACTCCTCCACAGTCACTCACAGCTTCTCTTGGCTAGGAAAGGGAAATCCCCTGACCCCTTGTGAGGGTGAGGTGACTCCCCACCCTGCTTTGGCTTGCCCTGCATGGGCTGCACCCACTGTCCAACCAGTCCCAATGAGATGAACCAGGTACCTCAGTTGGAAATGCAGAAATCACCCATCTTCTGCATTGATCTCGCTGGGAGCTGTAGACAGGAGCTGTTCCTATTCGGCCATCTTGGAAGCATCCTTATAGAGCATTTTTCTCAGTATGTTTGAGACTTTTACTGCAGGTGGATTACGTGAAGTCAGGAGTTCGAGACCAGCCTGGCCAACATGGTGAAACCCTGTCTCTACTAAAAATACAAAAAAAAATTAACCAGGTGTGGTGGCACATGCCTGTGATCTCAGCTACTTGGGAGGCTGAGGCAGGAGAATCACTTGAGTCCAGGAGGTGGAGGTTGCAGTGAGCCAAGATCACGCCATTGCACTCCAGCTTGGGTGACAAGAGCAAAATTCCGCCTCAAAAAAAAAATTGTTTTTAAGTGCTGTTGGAATATATGCCTTCCATTTTCAACCTTCTTGCTGGTATAAATGTTATTTTCTACCATGGAGGCAGCTTCATGTTCAGTTGTTTCCCAGACAGGAGCAGAGACTCTACATATGCATTACAATATGTTAAAAAATTAAAGTTGAAATATTTCACACAATAAAGTTAAGTTAATGAGATTTTGTCAGTAAATGCATTTGGTAAAGAGTATTAAAATATTCACTCAAGTACAAAAAGTTTGCTTGAGAATCAGTCTTGATGCTTAGTTGACCTTTGGGTAAAATACAACCTCTTTGCCAATCATAATTTTGGAGAGTAAAATGCTGTTCTAAACTACATGCGTAGTCATTCTTCAGAAAACAATGTTAACAATGCTAAGTGCATCTTCTTTCTCTATATCCTTCCATCACATCAATCTGTTATTATGTAGAGAAGGAGAAAGAATGGATAATAGACAAGGTTTATTATCTTATAGCACTTGTCAACCTGACAGGGCTTTTAAAAAAAATCACCTGCGTAAAGTTTTGTTTTGGAGAAATGACATTTTCCTCTTAGAGAATTAACACTTCTTAGCAAATTGAGAGAAGATGCAGATTGCAAAGAACACAATAAAGGCATCTAATCATGTCTAAAGGAAAACAGAAGCACCATGCCTAGACACCTTTTCATGCTGGGATACTGATGATTTTATTCTACCATTTGCTTTAAATATTAGAGAACATGACTCATGTGACATTAGGTGATATTGCAAATCAAATGTAGAATGAAAAAAATTCCAGATGCCAAAAGATCTTTCTCTTAAACCTCCTGCATTGCTTATACAACTTATCTAAAAGATTTTATTTTCATATTAGTGAGAAAAAAATGAGAGAAAATGGTTGATTTACTAACATGCTTAGTTCCTTCTGCTGTCTCAGATGAGGTTGTAATAATTCATCTTCCCCAGATGGAAAGGAGAAGAGAGTCTTCTCTTTCATTTCCCCAAATTTGCATTCAGCTTTCCATTCAGTTTAGATCTAAGGGTGCCAAAAGACATTCCTTACTAAACCTCCACCAATATCAGAGCTTCTACCTTTGTGCGCTACATGAGCATATGCTTAAAAGGAGAGTATGACATGATTAAACACATCAACAAAAGAACATGCAGGCACAGTGTTACCTTTCTCTGTTTCTATAGCTTGGAAACTCTTTGTGGGGTCAGAGGGAAGCAACAGAATTCCACTAGAGAAGTTATTAAGGGAGTATCAAATTTCATTCCTGTCATCAGTGAATTCATTCAAAAAAGACTAAGAAATACACTGGTGAGTAAAAAGGATGGTGGAGGAAACTCAAATCATAGAATTTTTCCACCAATGCCTAACAAAATGAGTATAAAGCAACAAATCATAAAAAGGAGAAATTCCTCGTGGTAACTGTAAATGAAAGGATACAACTTCACTTCAAAAAGGCAAATAAAGGTTCTGGTACATTAGCTTAGTCTTCACACAATGCCCAGCACACACACATACACACACACACCACCACCACCTCTAGAATTTGTAATAGGAATGAAAGATACATGACTGAATGGCACAATCATGAAAATTATCATGATTACATTTGAATATGAAGAGAGTATACGAAGGTAATGAGTAGGTACTCTGGACAAAAGTAAAACATCATTTATTGAAAACAGAAGCTTTTACATATCACATAGGATTTCATCCGAAGCAAGAAAAGTGTCAAATTCTGACATTTTCCAGTGTTTTTTACAGAAATGTGGTAAGGATTAAAAGCCCAATGTTCTTCACCTCATAGAAATAGGTATCTTAAATCTTGGTATAGGACATTCACCAGAATCTTAAAGGAAACAACAGAAGACTCAATTGAGATTCTTCCACACTCTCACACTACAAAGATAGGGTAAAATACCCCTTTAACTGTAGCTTAGAGGGAAGAAAAACAACCCAGAGAAGTTGGAAATTACTTGTTGTAAAGAGAACTTTACTTACAAGATAGACTAAGTGAAAGGCTGGCCACCTTTAATATGAACAAAAGAAAAACACAGCCCAGCAATATGCTATCTGTAATAAAGATTATAGCTCCTTAAAAGGAAAAAAGGAATGAGAAATAAAGGAAAAAAGAAAGAAATACAGTAAACAAAAACAAATAAAAAGATCTCATTTTGGAAAAAAACATAACAGAATGGTCAGAAGAAAACAGAAATACAGGAAAACTAGATCACAAATTCAAAAATGTTTGACTAGAACGAGATTAAGCAGTATTGCCTAAAAAGGGACAGCCATGGAAATAAAGAATCAAAAAAGCCCCAAGAGAAAACCACATTAAAGTCTCATAACAGAAAAACACAGATGAAAATCTTATCACTGGCCCAAAAGAAGGACTGTGCTAATCAAAGTAAATATGAGAGAGAAAGACAAAGTCCAAAGCAATAAGAATTTATAGCTTTTATCTGATTGAGCAAGTGGTTCTCTGCACTAAATAAGGTGAGGAATCCTGAGCACCTTTAAAAACCTAAAATATGCTTGGGTTTCAAAAGATGCTTGTATGTCAATTTCTAAAATAAAAAGCTCTGTTACCCCTTTTTACTTATCTCATTGCACCCTCACAATCATCACATGAGGTTGGAAGGTCTATTTTTTTTTCCCGTTTAACAGATAACTGAACTGAGGTGCAGCAAGACTGACCTTCCCAAGATCCAGTGTTGAGGAAGTTGAGGTGAAAGATAATAAGAGATGTTCTTGACTTGGATCCTCACACTGCCTCTTTTGTTTTGGGAAATAGACTGAAGGTGGCCAGTTAAGTATGAGATCAGCAGTGTGGGAAATAGCAATTGCGAAACCTTGAAGGCAAGATTAGGATATGGTTATTTATCTATCATTTTCAAAATGACTGATATGAAACATCTTTCTCCAAGATCACAAGCAACTTCATATATTTTATTTCAAATGACATCTCCAGAGAATAACAGAAAATAACTCAAATTGGATGAAAAGCAGCAGCAGGTTCCTATAGGGACCAATTACAAATAAACAGGCTCATTAAAGCTGTAAATGCTTATAAAGCACATCAGAGCAGGAACATCCAACAGTGAAGCACAGGTGTACACAGTTATTACCAATATTTAGCACAATTTAAATTTGGAACATAATTTAAAGTAATTTGTGGGAAAATGCAGGCATATAGGGATCTCCCAAACAAATAATGATGGAAAAAACTGCAGCGCACGGTGGAAATGTCTACTTTGTATGCACTGTTTCTCCAATTTGCCTGTTTGTTTTTCTCTCTCTCCTTGTTTCTCTCTTCCCATTAGAAAATCTATCTAGTGATTTATCTGATTCGTTGATGTGCTCTACACTGGCTTTCCTCTTTTGAAATTTACTCCATATCTGTTCATACATTTTCCTCATTTACATGTAATTACATTTTTTCCTTGCTTCTGGATTTTTAGGAGTATGTTTCCTTAACATGACTAAAGATATTTACCAACTTTTTTGTTTGTTTGTTTGCTTGTTTGTTTGTTTTTGAGACAGAGTCTCGCTCTGTCGCCCAGGCTGGAGTGTAGTAGTGTGATCTTGGCTCACTGCAAGCTCCGCCTCCCGGATTCACGCCATTCTCCTGCCTCAGCCTCCCCAGTAGCTGGGACTACAGGCACCCCACCCGCCACTGCGCCCAGCTAATTTTTTGTGTTTTTTAGTAGAGAGGGGGTTTCACCGTGTTAGCCAGGATGGTCCCAACACATTTTTTAAAGGGCGAATGCTTTTAAAGAAATGAATTCTGTAAAGGGAGGAAAGTAAGAGGAATCGTTTTTTAGAGCCGTAGGGCAAAAAAAAAGTTATGGTTATAAAGAACTGCCTGGAATTATAATTTCTATTTTTGCATTCTAATTCCAGAAAACTGAATTTAGTATGATATTTTAATTCCTACAACACCCAGAATACAAAATAAAACTTTCAATACACATCAATGCATTTTATATTGGGACTAAAATGCAATGTAACAAGCAGAATTAATTCTAGTGGCTTCAAAGTCAGTAGTAAGTAGCTCCATAAATAAGAATGATTTTTAGGAAGAAAAACTAATTTATTCTCAAATTGGATTCACAAACTGCATTTACTGATTGTGATTTTAAGTTTGCATTAGAGGAAAAAAGTTATCTTAGAATAAATTATTTGAAAATAATTTCTTTTGCTTGCCCAAAACCTAGGTAAATTTAGCTTTTAAATTGTTGAAAACTGAGAATGTATGTAGTCTGTATGTGTGATCTTGGTCAGAATATTAACACACCAGGCTACAGTTTCTTCATCTTTACTGTACATACAGAATAGATCAAACAGGTGCTCTTAACTTGGGAACAGCAAATCTAGGCTTCAGCCTCAAAAGATCTTTGAATGCCACAGAATTTTATGTAAAATTATGTGTAGGTTTTGGGGTGCATTTTTCTGGGGAAATAATAAATGTCATCAGATTCTATGCAAAGCAAACTATATGCTTATTTTCCCCTCTAATATTCTACTAACGCCATGATCGTCTGTTAATGGTGTACAAATGTTACCATGGTAAGAATTACCTAAGCGGGTTGTTGAAAATATGGATAATTAGAACACATCGAAAAGGTTTCTGATTCAGGAAATCTGGGACAGAGCCTATGTGAGAAGCACTGCTGTATGCTACAGGACCCATCATAATTGTAGATTTCAGCTGTCAATAGCTTTTGAAAATAAGATAGGCTATTCTATTATAGCCTGTGATTAGCATAATCAGTTTCTTCTTAGAAGAGGAACATTTTTCTGCATTGCTTTGACTTCTACAGAAGTTTATATATTAGAGAAACTCCAAAAACAATGCTGTCACTATGGAATCAAAGCCATTACTTTTAAATTTCTTTTTTTTGTGTGTGACGGGGTTTCTCTCTTGTTGTCCAGGCTGGAGTGCAATGGTGCGATCTCGGCTCACAGCAACCTCCGCCTCCCGGGTTCAAGTGATTCTCCTGCCTCAGCCTCCCGAGTAGCTGGGATTACAGGCACCCGCCACTGCGCCTAGCTAATTTTGTATTTTTAGTCGAGATGGGGTTTCTCCATGTTGATCAGGCTGGTCTCGACTTCCTGACCTCAGATAATCCGCCCACCTTGTCCTCCCAAAGTGCTGGGATTACAGGCGTGAACCGCCGCGCCCGGCCACTTTTAAATTTCTTTATTTCATTGCTTATCACTTGTACAAACTCATCTCCTCAGTGATGGGTCATGGAGAGTTTTCAGAGGGCCATGAGACAACACTGGTTATATTTCTAATGATTACTGATAAGAAATAGAAGTATCTACTGTACTGTTGAGGCCATTTGCGAAAAGCTTTTTTAAAAAAAATGACTGCAAACACAATAGAAAATTCATCTAGTTTACTTTGAAACCACTGCCAGGCTGAAAATGAGGAATTTCACAAACTATAAAGGTCCTCATAAAGTCTTTTATGTTAAATTACAGCGAATTAAGACATTTTCTTAAAAAATAAATAAGTGAAATGCTGGCCCTCTAACCATGAGCCTAGAAACTAATGCTGTATCAAATAAAAACAAATCCAGACTTAGTAAGGGGAGACATTATCCAAAAGGATTATTGCAAAGCTGAAAGGGAGTATTGCGATAGAAAGAAAGTTAACCATAAGATCAGCGTCTCAGGGGTTAGTCAAAAAGAGATATGCTTGTGTAGGAAGGAGTAAATAAGGCTGGAAAGAACGGGCTGTGGAAAAATGCTAGTATGATAGGATAGCAGATTACAAGATGTTCACCTTGAGGTAAGATGTTCACTGTTTTCGGGTGGGATTCTTATGAAAAGGCTATATGCCGGCACAGGTAGACCGGGAGCCCAAGTTCAAGGAATTGAGGGAAGAAGAAAAACTTAACCAAAGTTGACTTAACAAACATTTTGTTGCAATTGATCAATTGGGTAAAGCATTTCATCTAATTATGAGCAAATTATGGGAATTTGGAGGGTCTGTGGTTCTCCTTGTCATAGGCAAACAAGGGTCATCAATGAGTAGTACCTAAGTTATATGGGGCAGAATGATCCTTAGCAAGATAATTTCCTGGAAGGAAAAAAGGGCAGGGGGGATTCCTAACCCTCACCATTTTCCATGCTCACAGGGCTCTGATAAAATTTAACATTGTCAGCTGGGTGCAGTGGCTCACCATGGGCAACATGGTGAAAAACCACACCTCTACAAAACATAACAAAAATTAGCCAAGTGTGGTGATATGTGCCTGTAGTCCCAACTACTCAAAAGACTGAGGCGGGAGGATTGCTTGAGGCGGGAGGATTGCTTGAGCCTGGAAGGTAGAGGTTGCAGTGAGTCAAGCTAGCACAACTGCAGTCCAGCCTGGGCAACATAAGGCCTGCCTCAAAAAAAAAAAAAAAAAAAAAAAAACACTGTCACATTTTCCAATGTCACTGTAAAATATCATATGCATCTTGTATCTCTACCTCATTGTATGTCCATAGATAGAAACTAATTTCTCCTTGATCTAGACACCCCATTCTCTTGGGGGTGGGTTTGAAGTGGGGCCCAGATATGAGAGATAAGTGCCCAGCAGAAAGACAGCTTACCTCACATGAGAGGTACATTGCCTCATCACTCAATGATGAAATGCTGTTTGGCCATAGCTACTTAATATTGAGAAGGCTTCAGCCAGAAGACATGGTAGAAATTCTGGCAGCCAAATATATTTATTGGTATTATTTTTTTTAAAGGCTAGTCAAGTGAAGCAGTGGGAGTGGAGAAGGAACAAAGGAATCTGTAACTGGTTGTGATCAATTAGTTGTAAACATCACTGCCTCAGACCAGCCTGGCAGCCAATTTTAGAATTATAGACTCTTACATATGCACTATTAGTTGAATTCAATTAAAGGATTTTTTTTTCTTTGTAAAATAAATGTATATTGCTGATTGTGTTCTAATCACTATACTGTTTGCTGAGTTGCCAGGCATAAAAGCATTATTCATATCTAATTTCAAATCTTCAGAAGTAATAACTCTTTTGATATGATCAAAGTTTATAAATGACCTAATGCTTCTAAACTAAATTTAGCATTCTTGGAAAACAGATTTTTAAATATTTCCATTTAATAAACCATCTAAATTAAATAACCATCTTAAATATGTCTCTATACCTTCCCTTACTCTTTTTGCTCATTTCATCATCATTCAAAACATAAATTACAGAAGCTTGGAGTAATTGGACCATTTTCACAAGATATAAACAATATGCCTATGTACTCATCTGGCTGTTTCTCTTCATTTCTCCAAGGGAAATCTGATAAGCTGAAAACTAGAGATCTACATTTGTCCACTGGTGAAAATGGAGTTTCTATTAGACTACATTATGGGATAAGCATAGGAAAGAAGGATTTGAGCAAGCTTTGGCAAGATCAGAACAGATAGAACACAGCTATTTCTATACCAAGAATAAGTGGACCTTTGCCTCAGGCTCAGTACACTTAAGAGTGTTCTGTGATTCTTAGGATTGAAGAAAAACGGATGGTAGTTCCAACAGTTGATGCTAAAAGGTATGATACATAAACAATAGTATTTATTTACATAGGTGCCATATGGGACTGATAAAATTTTAATCATCACTTTCTATTTATATAGACACATATTTTTGAAAGTATGCCCTCTACTTAGTCCTTACATTTAAGCTGCAGTTTCATGATGTTTTTTAATTCAAAGTGCTTCTGCTGCCCATGTAAACCTAATTGTACTTTATAAAAATATTGATGAAAGGGGAGAAATACCCAGATTATAATGTAATCTACCCAGGGCACGCAACCCTAGAGTTCAACAAAGCATCACGCTGTAATAAGAGGGTATTATAATTTTACCTGTATCACAAAATGTTAGAGGTATCTTCAGCTGGGGCGATGAGACGTTATAGGTAGATCTTAATATCTGATTGTTCCAGCTAAGGAAGCCTTGAAGTTAATGCTTATTAATAATGGTCCATGGACTTTTGAAGTATTTTATCTCTACAATATACATAAAACATAGTCTGAACTATATCCCAAATGTCAAAATTAAAAAAATTATTAATCATATCATCCTAAGAAGAATACATTAGTGGACAATCATATACACACATTCATCTCAAACAAGAAGACAGAGCAGGTCAAACACACAGGCTTTGGCAACAGCCTGTGTAAGTTTGCTTCCAAATTTACCATTAACCTTGGGCAAGCTACCTTGGGTGAGCTACTACCTCATTTTGTCAGTTGTACTGTGGATATTAAGATAGTACTAACCTTTTATTGTTTGTTCTAACAATAAAATGAGCTAATTAAGGGTCATAAAGCTCTTAGAAAAATCCCTGACATTTTAAATATGTTAGCTATTATTAGGGAACATGACTTTAATAGACACTCACTTTTCTATGTGCTCTAAATCAATCAATTTCATTATTACATAGTCTTATTTGTAAAGATGAGTGCTAACTTACTGCAATACAGGCACTCTGCTAAGGATCACACACAAACATATAAATATCTATACATAAAATCTCACCCTTTCTAAGGCTTTATATGTACTATTATAATACACATACTATTAAAAATCAAACAGGAAACTGAAGCTCAGATCTGCAAAGTAAATTCTCTAAGATTATAGACCTTTTAAATAATGGGGAAAAAAACCCAGATTGGAATAGGAATATTTGAGGATTCCTCCACAAGTGGTATACTATAGACCCCCATAATCAAAGGGGAATATGTCCCAAGAATTCCAGTGGATGCCTGACAAACCCTATATATACTATGTTTATATATAGTATATATATATATATATTACTTTTGCAGAGTGTTTCAGATTCCAGTTATCTTACGACATTTGCTTAATTAGCATGGAGCCAGGTTTTCTTTTGATGGAAACACCTATTTTTTCCTCAGGGAGTACCTGAAGGAAAAGGAGATTTTATCTGTAATTATGTTTGAATGTGTAGGGTCTGCCCGTGGTCACTAGGTTGCCTGGGGATGCAGCTGCCTATAGGTTGCTACATGCGCGTGTATAAATCTGGTTTGAAATATTCAACTCCAATACATTTCTCTTTCTCTATCCTGAAGATAAATTTGTCCTGCTTCTCAAAACTATTCTGGCATTCCAAAATGGAGCTGCTGAGACTCTAATAACCCAATTAATCTTATATAATACAATCATCTTCTCAAAGTAGAGATTCTTAGGAGCATTTTGGGAATTGGAGGTTTGAGAAACAGTTTCAGGGACTAGGGCTAAATAAAATATCATGTTATTACATGAGAAGTCATAGAGAACTCCCAAACGTAGGCCCTGTTACTCATCTTTGCCCCATCTACCTAGAATTCTGCTTTCCTCCGAGTGTTTTTAACATCAGGTTTCCCATTGTTTTTCTTTGGTCTCCTTAAAAGATCCACAGTTTATCAAACAAGTCTGAACCCATCCGAAAGCTTTTATTATGACAACAATATACCTTTAAATTTGGAGAAAAGTGTTCTATAAAATAGTCATTGCTGCCCTGATAACAACGTTAAAGAAAAAATATGCATATTAATATGGGAAATAATATAAAACCACAACTATGGAATTAGATTGCTTATGTTATAGCTTTAAAAGAGAAATCTCTAAAATAAATTTCAGTCATTATCCAAGAAAATATTAAAAGCTATCTTTTAGGAATATATCAGTAATTATTTAATAGGTACCTTAAATGCATTTAATACTCTGCTAAAAGAGTCAGTGTATTTTTAAAAAAATGAAACATGGTTTCTAATGTAAAGCACTTGAATGTTTAATTGTGAAGGATGACTTGCTCACACTTTAAACATGAGAATAAGAGCAAATATTGACAAATGTGTAACCATATCTAATGAGGTCAAGAAAAATAATCTGGGTTTTCTATTTCCATTATTTAAAAGGTCAGTAATCTCAGAGAAGTTACTTTTCAGCTCTGAGCCTCAGTTTCCTGTTTGATATTTAATAGTATGGGTATTATATATGTGTGTGTGTGTGTGTGTTTGTAAGAATTAGAAACAAAAAAATAGTACTCTCACGATTCACTAATATGACTATGGTATGGTGGGAGTATAAATTAGTTCAACCATTGTGAAAATCAGTGTGGCAATTCCTCAAGGGTCTAGAACCAGAAATATCTTTTGACCCAGTAATCCCATTACTGGGTATATGCCCAAAGGATTATAAATCATTCTACTATAAAGACACATGCACACATATGTTTCTTGCAGCACTATTTACAATAGCAAAGACTTGGAACCAACCTAAATGCCCATCAATGATAGACTGGGTGAAGAAAACGTGGCACATATACACCATGGAATACTATGCAGACATAGAAAAGAATGAGATCATGTCCTTTGCAGGGACAGGGATGAAGCTGGAAGCCATCATTCTCAGTAACCTAACACAGGAACAGAAAACCAAACACCACATATTCTTACTCATTAGTGGGAGTTAAACAATGAGAACACATGGACACAGGGAGGGTAACAACACACTGGGGCCTGTCAGGGGGTGGGGACCAAGGGGAGGGAGAGCATTAGGACAAATATCTAATGCATGCGGGGCTTAAAACCTAGATGACGGGTTGACAGGTACAGCAAACCACCATGGCACATTTATACCTATGTAACAAACCTGCACATTCTGCACATGTATCCCGGAACTTAAAGTAAAAATAAATAAATACATAAATAAATATCTAAAATGACTACAATTAATTAGTGATTTCAGCAAATTTGCTGGTTATCATCTTATAATACAAAAATTCATTGTGATTTTATATATGAGCATATATATGCTTTTATATATGAGAATTTTAAACAGAACTTTGCAAATTAAATGTAATTTCAAAAAATTTGGCAGTGACTTCAAAAATATTAAATGCTGAAAACAAATCTCATGGATAATATGCAAGATCTTTACAAAGAAAGCAATAGGCACTATTGAGAGAAATTAGGAAGAACAAAGTAAGTGGATAAGTATTCTATGTTCATGACTTGAAAGATAAATTATAGATTTCAACTTTTCCTTAACTTATCTACGGTTCAATGCAACACCAATCAAAATCTTAGAAGATTTATTTTGGATATAAATTAATAAGTAGAGTATAATATTCACATAAAATTATTAAAAGTCAAGATTCTTTTAATGAAGAAAATATGAATTTACTTGCTCTATTAGAAATCAAGTCTTATCATAAAACTACTATAATAAATAAAGGATAGTGTTGGTACAAGGAAGAACAAATAGAACAATGGAATAGAAATTAGTCCAGAAAAAGAAACACATATTTAGGGATACCTAATTTAAGAACAAAAATAAGACTGAAGTGTGTAGAATGGTGCTGGACCAAGTGAAAAATCCATAAGGATAAACACTGAAGCTTGACATAAACCATAAACTGGAAGATATTATTTATAGAATATCTTCATGATTTTATGTAGAGAAAGGTGTGTTAAAAAAAAGACACAAAAAATATTAACCATAGAGGAAATAATGATAAATCAGACAATACTAAAATTGATCAATTCTATTTCTCAAAAGACATTACTAAGAGAGTGAAAAGGCAAGCCAAAGGCTGGACAAATATATTTATAATGCACAAGTGGCTGATATTTAGAAAATGTGAAGATCTCCTACACATCAATAAATAAAAAGAAACAAAACCGAAGAAAAATAAGCAAAAGCCTTAAACAGGTAATATTTGTCTTATTACTATATCCCTGGATATAAGCCATATTCAAATAGCCACAAAACTTATGAAAGATTCTCAAGTGCATTAGTCATTGGGGAAAGGAAAATTAAAGCCTGGGGTAGTTAAAATAAAATATGACTGTCAATATCAAGTGTAATGAGAATGTGGAGCAATGGAAAATCTCATAAGCTGCTAGAAGTAATTTAAATTAGCCTATAAAACCATTTGAGAAAATAGTTTGAAATTATCTACTGAAGTTGGAAATAAAGCTACCATATAATTTAGTATTTCCACCTAGAGATATATACAATAAAGGAAAACATGTAGTTTTACAGCAAGATACATGTATAAGAATGTTCACAGCACTATTACTGGTAATAACCAGAAACTGGGGAGAAACCACACACATGCAAAAAAGCCTATCATCTCTTAGTAGTAAAAGGAATAAGTAAATTGTGGAATATTTATATTTTATACAATGCTGTATGGAATACAAAGATACTTATAATATATAACTCATAAATGGTTGATATTCAGTTAATAGGAAGACCTTCTACAACTACCTCGGGAGTTTAACCTCAGAATTCCCATTATTTTTGTTTCGTCTCCTAAAAGCATTCAAATACCATACACCATTGAAACACTATACAGCACTGAGAATAAATGAATTATAGCAAGAATATAATGAATCTTACAAACATAATACTGAGTAAAAACTGGACACATGTATATTATATAAATTGGTTTATATGAATTTCAAGACAAGTGAAAATAAACTTATTGTTATGGACTAAATTGTGTTACTCCAAAACTCATTTGTTAAAGCCCTAACCCTCAATGTGATGGTACTTAAAGATGAGGCATTTGGAGATAATTGGGTTTAAATGAGATCATGGGATTGGGGCCCTCATTATGGGATTGAGGCTCTTATAAGAAGAGTTACCAGAGTGCTCTCTGTGAGCACAGACCCAGGAAAGACCATGTGAGAACATAAAAACAAGTTGGACATCGCGCACCCCAAGGACGGGGCCCTCTCCAGATACTGACCTTGTTAGCACCTTGATCTTGGACTTCAGATCTCCAGGGTTGTGAGCAAATAAATGCCAGGTGTTTCAGCCACCCAGTCTATGGTAAATTGTTACGGCAGCCTGAGTATTCAAGGATGCATGAATTTGTGGTAAAGCATAACAAGGAAGCAAATATCATAAAAGTCAGGGTAGTGATTAGATTTGAGAGGGAGAGAGGCAGTAGTAACTGAGAAAGCTGTGAAGAAGGCTTTTGAGATTATTTCAGAGTTCACATCTTGAACTAGGCAGAAATTACCTTGATTTTTTGTGATGATAATTCATTGCACTTTTCTTTTTGCATGCTATATTTTTAAATGCTAACAAAAGGAAGAAAATAGTGATGTCAATTATTCCTGGATGATAACAGAGACCAGGTTATGATCTGCTAAATGTGGTTTCATCTTTTATCCTTTAATATTCACATTTTTAAGGAAAATCTGTCATATAGGTCCGCTCAGGTTTAGCCAAACTTCACTGCCATCATTGAACAAAGAATACTTAGCATGACTTAGATCTTACTGATCCAGTGAGAATTCAGACAACTTGTCATTTGTCTCTGATGGAATTAGATTGATAGGCTGGAGACAGATCAATGGAACTGCTTAAATGCCAGATTAAGTTATTTATGCATTATTCTACAAGACAGTTTTCAATTTTTCTGTGTTTCTCAGATCCCAGATCCCCTGCATTAAATATGTCTGGGATGTTCACAGAAATCTAAGCTCTTAATCAACTTAATTAGAATTCGTGAAGATAAGGACCAACACAAATATATATTTTTTAAATCATCGTATCTAATTCTTATCTACACAAGATTTTGGCTCAACTACAGTTAGTAATGTGGTAACATGGAAGTTTTTTTTAAATTAAGGAGTGACATGATTGTAGTTATAAGCCATGTTGAAGACCCTGATATGCAGACAGTTACTTGTGTCTATATTTTATTTACAATAAAGCCAAAGGCAACAAAGTTATACAGAACATTAATCAGCAAGTTTGGTTCCACTGGGAAGCAATGCTAAACAGTTTGCCTGGAAATTATTTGCAATTCAATATTCAAAATACAGATACCTGTGCTTCAGCTACCTTACCTCCCAAACTAAGGAGCCGTGGTTGAGAACCCTTGCTCTATTCATGATATGCTTCACAGTTAGATGGTAGATAACCAATTATTCTTGTTATCTGCCAATTGACTGGAAAATAGGGCCATATGAGAAAGGGTGGCACAAATATGATTTGGAAAGGGTTAAAATATAACTAGGCACATAGAAAAAAGTAAATTAAAAAAATAATAAAATATTAAATATTTATCAATTTTTAACTTTTATTTTGTAAACATCACTACGGAATTATGACTTTAAATATATTTTCCTGCTTGATTATTCCAGTGGCTTTGCTGTCACCAGGTTCAACCTACTCACTCTGATGTGTACTTTAAGCCCCCAGATTTGGAACTCATTAAGAGAGAAGGGCAGGGAAATACGAAGGAGGAATAGCTCCTTGTTCCCAGAAAGCAAGTGTAATTTCAAAACATGACATGATCATGCTGAAATAACAATAGGGCCAAATACAAAAACTACTATTGGCCATCTCGTGATCTATTAAGGATCAAAATAAGAAAAATATTGGTATTCAGTTGCAATGGTTGTTAAGCAGGGACAATTTTGGCACCCAGGAGACATTGGCAATGTCTGAGGACATTTTTAATTGTCACAATGAGGGGGAATGCTACTGAGTAGAGTACCTAATGAGTAGAGGCCAGGGACACTGTTAAACATCCAACAATGCACAGTACAGCCCTCATCAAAAAAAAGAATTTACCATCTAAAATGACAACAGTGCCAAGGTTGGGAGACCCAATGAATTGAAACAAATTCAGACTATAAAGATACTCCATAAGGATGAAAACTATATAAATGCAAAGAGCAGAAGGTTGCATGCAAAAGAAGAGTAAGTTTAATATATTTTTTAAACTGGTTTTCATATGTGAGTGGACTGGCATATCTGAGTGTGCTGTTTTCAGGGTTTTGTTGATTTTTGTTAATAATATGCATGACAATCAATATTTAGTGTTTGTTAACTGTGTGATAGAGAGGAAAAGTCATTAGTAAGCCAACCTGAACCACAAAACCAAGAACTCTATTACACACTGGAGAGTGGTCAGCAGAGATAATCACAAAAACTACCAGGTAGAAACAGTGTTTAGTGGTGGATTCTAAGATAGTAGTTTAACCAAATTTCCACAAAAGAGAGTTAACTGTACAGACTTGTCTATTTTTGAAGGGAAATCTTTGCATGACTCTACTAATTTATGATGAAATAAAAAACTATCTGAGATGTCTGTAGCCATGACTTGATGGATAAGAGAATAAAATAGGGAAGGCACAAGAAAAAAAAAATGACATCCAAAAGTCTCATGAAATAGCTTATGATCTTTTACTGAGAGGAGAAAGCCAGACCAATCAGTGCAGACCTGGTATTGAATCCCCATAGGATGGAACCATGTCTTGTTTTCAGATCAATAATTAATTAGTTAAATAGGAACATACAATCATGGCTTGAGAGAATATTATTATTTGGGGGTCTGTTCAGGTTATTTTATGCAAGGGAATGAATATAAATGCTAATTGTGTAAACCCACAAATCCAGGGTGTCAATATCTTTGTAATGGCTTAAGTGTTGGTGTAATAGTAAGATTTGTGGTCATTTATTCTGTGTATATTTGATCTATTTTAAGGAGTGTAAGCATTTAAAAGATCTTTTATATCAGATTCCTATTTTTATTAAAATTCAAAACTTGCCTATATTCTAATTAACTTTTGGATGGTTAGTGAATTGGATTTCTAAATGTTTATTTTTATTCATTAAATATGTAAGTTGTACCTAGAGATATGGGAAAATTTCCTAATGATTTGTAAGTTTAATAAGTTGAATGTTAAAGCAAAAGTAATCAGTGTTTCTCTCCAAACACAATAACCCCTGGAACTTTATCAACAAGAAGTGGCAACAGAGCATAGTCCAGGTGTTGGTAAACCATGGCCCACATGGCCCATAGGTCAAATTCTGTCTGCTGCCTGTATTTTCACAGCCCGCAAGCTAAGAATAATTATCACATTTTTAAATGGTTGAAAAAAAAACAACTAAAAATAGAATTTTGTGACATGAAAATTATGACAATCAAATCTCAGTGTCCATAGCACTCTATTCAGTATGCTGTTGGAATATAGCCAGCCTCATTCATTTGTGTATTATCTCTGGCTGTTTTCATGCTATAATGGCAGAGACCATGTGTTGACAAAGTCTACAATATTTACTATCTGGCCCTTTACAGAAAGTTTACTAGTCCCTGGGGTAGCAGTTACAAGCTTGGGCTCTGAACAAGACAGATTGTTTCAATGCCAGGTTTGCTGCTAGTAGCCATGAGATGGGCACATTTGTTAAACTCTGAGGATTCCAGTGTTTCCATTTGTAAAACGAGACAATTTTAGTGACCACCTTATAGTCTGGCTACAAAGAGCAAGTTTGTTAATATGTGCAGAGCATCTAAAAGGGTGGCTAGAAGTAGGAAGCACTTAATGTAGGTTCTTACTAGCACTAGCTAGTATGAGGCTCACTTACTGATATTTCTAGAGTGTTTCTGGAAGAAGTGCATACGCTATCAACTTGGAAATGTGTAATTTTTAAAGTTGCACAGTTATTTCAAGTTATAAATTAAAATTTGTATACCTTCTAAATGTCAGAGCCCTGACACAAAGCCAGTTGGATTTCCCTTGAACTTGCCCTGGTTCAAAAGGTTGGTAGCAGAAGAAAGAATCAGTGAATACTGGAATCACGTGGACTTTGAAATTATGCAGGCTTCAGCTGAATTATAGCTCTTCCCCTAGCAGTGTGCCTTTAAAAATAATCAATGTGCCTTTATGGATATCATTTTTGTCATCTACATAATTAATAAATATATACCATTGGTCTATATATCTGTTTTGGTACCAGTACCATACTGTTTTGGTTACTGTAGCCTTGTAATGTAGTTTGAAGTCAGGTAGCATGATGCCTCTTTTTGTTTGTTCTTTTGCTTAGGGTTGTCTTGGCTATATGGGTTCTTTTTTGATTCCATATGAAATTTAAAGTAGTTTTTCCTAATTTTGTGAAGAAAGTCAATGGTGACTTGATGGGGATAGCAATGAATCTATAAATTACTTTGAACAGTATAGCCATTTTCACGATATTGATTCTTCATATCCACGAGCATGGAATGTTTTTCCATTTGTTTGTGTCCTCTGTTATTTCCTTGAGCAGTGGTTTGTAGTTCTCCTTGAAGAGGTCATTCACATCCCTTGTAAGTTGGATTCCTAGGTATTTTATTCTCTTTGTAGCAATTGTGAATGGAAGCTTACTCATGATTTCACTCTCCGTTTGTCTATTATTGGTGTATAGGAATGCCTGTGATTTTTGCACATTGATTTCGTATCCTGAGACTTTGCTGAAGTTGCTTATCAGCTTAAGGAGATTTTTGGGCTGATGCAAATACAGATGCTTGGACCTACTGAATCTCAAATGATGAGACTCAGATATTTGTAATTTTAAAGAAAGCTAAACAGGTAACACTGATGTACATGCAGGCTGGGATGAAAATCACAAAATTAAAATGCTTATGTGAGATCTAAATGAAATGAGTGTCAAACTCCCAGAAGGGGACCTGCATCAACCAACCTGCCCCTATCCAATACTTTCTAATATCTCAAACATCACTCATTTAGGAAATTAGAGATAATAGAAAATTTGAACCTAGACTGCTTATCTTTATTCTAGGACTCCAGAACAGAGGAAGGATCATTTCTCTGCCCTAACAATAGGTAGCAAACAGACCTTGTGCCCCTCAACCTCTGGGGGAAAAAGAAATGCCTCTATCCAACAGTCAGAATTTTTTTGAACACCCAAAATTGAAGAACAAGACTGCTCTTAGAATCTTACCAAATAATGCTATTAACTGATAGAATTAAAAGTTCAAATATTTAAAGCATATTTTTCTTTAAAGGTCATATTTCTATCAAAAATAGACCTTTTCCCCTTGCACTCTTGCAAGATTAACACTTAAAATCAGTAGAGCATCTGTAAGGCAGTGGTTACATATAGCCAGCTCTACTCTCTATGGTTCATCATCAGTACAAAGTCTCATTAACCTTATCACTTTCTAGTCCTTGAGCACAATGGGATATGTCAGGCAGCTGCCACTGTCTGTGTGCTCTAATGCATAAACTTAATGGGCTTGGAGAACAAGACTTCCAGCAGTGCCACGAGCTATTCAGAGGTACTTTTCAGCTAGCAAATATGTTATTCTGAACCATCCAGCTATTATTGGAAAGTATAGAGCCCTTAATTTTGGTTTAATGATGTTTTTATGGAGATTTCAATAAAACTCAGACCTCATTTCAAAAGTCCAAGAAAAATTAAAAGGTTTCTCCTTCCCACATGGTCCTAGTGACATTAAATAATGTCATATGTTGGTTTCCTCACCTTCTTCCCAGGTGCTACCTAAATGGTTTTGAAAGATAGCTTCACCTTGTGGATTCAATTGTGCAGAGTCTAAGGAGAGGTTCCAAAAGGAACTTAATTCTCTTAAAATTATTGTAAGAAAAAGAAAACATGTGTAACTAGACTTAATTGGTAGAGATGTCTAAAAGTTTCTCCTAACAATAGAAGAAATAAACTAGGATACTGGACAAAGTAGCCTTATATCTAAGAGCTATATAATCACTGGTTTGGTTTGGATCTGTGTTTGCCAAACTCTTATGTCAAATTGTAACCACCTGTGTTGGAGGAGGGGCCTGGTGGGAGGTGATTGGATCATAGGGGTGGATTTCCCCCTTACTATTCTCGTAATAATGAGTGAATTCTCACGTGATCTGATTGTTTAAAAGTGTGTAGCACCTCCCCACTCTCTTTCTTCCTCCTGCTCTGGCCATTAAGATATGCCTGCTTCCTCTTTGCCTTCCACCATGAAAGTTTCCTGAGGCCTCCCTAGAAGCCTGCTTCCTGTACAGCCTGTGCAACCGTAAGCCAATTAAACCTCTTTTCTTTATAAATTACCCAGGCTTAGGCACATTTTTTATAGCTGAGTGAGAATGGACTAATACAACCACTACCACTGTCCCCATCTCACCCCACAAATATAAATCTCATTGATAGAGTAGGTGGCACTTAACAGACGATTGGTAGAAGAGCAAGAACAGCCTTGCAAAAACAATGCAATTAAATCGTATTAGTCTTGTAGTTAAAATAATTTTCATAAAAGAAAGATAAGAAAAGTAGGCTAAATCTACAGTATGAGAAAAGGTGTCTATTTTATGTTATTTGTTCTCCTAATACTACCACTATCCTTCAAAAAAAGAGAGCTCAATTGTGGAAAATACCGTAACACATTTTGCTACATGGAATCAGACTGGATGTAAGCTCAAAGAGCTGGTCCAGGGAAGATCAAAGCCAGGGTCAGTTCTAGGCTGATAATCACTATTGCATATTCTATTATTGACATGTTAGTGCAGAAATTTAAAAGCCTACACAGCATCAAAAAGGATTTTCTTTATTTACCAAATTATAAAATTGGAAATGATTTCAGTGGTCATCTAACTGGGATCTTGTCACCACCCCCCACAAACACATACTGACTTTTATATCTTTCTACTTTGTTTCTGTCTGTGGGTGTATTAGTCAGGGTTCTCTAGAGGGACAGAGCTAATAGGATGGATGGATAGATGGATGGATGGATAGATAGATAGATAGATAGATAGATAGATAGATAGATAGATACATAGATAGATAGATAGATAGATAGATAGATAGATAGATAGATAGATAGATAGATAGAAAGGGGAATTTATTAAGTATTAACTCACACCATCGCAAGGTCCCACAATAGGCCATCTGCAAGCTGAGGAGCAAGAAGAGCCAGTTGGAGTCCCAAAACTGAAGAACTTGGAGTCTGATGTTCGAGGGAAGGAAGAAGGAAGTGAGTCTAGTCTTTTCATGTTTTTCTGCCTGCTTTATATTTCTAGTTGAGCTGGCAGCTGATTAGATGGTGCCCACCCAGGTTAAGGGTGGGTCTGTCTTTCCCAGCCCACTGACTCAAATGTTAAGTCCTTTGGCAACACCCTCAGGGACACACCCAGGATCAATACTTTGCATCCTTCAATCCAATCATGTTGACAAGCAGTATTAACCATCACGGGTACTTTGAAGGAAATAATTTACTTTAAAGAGATTTCTGGACATTTCTCTCTTTCTGAATCTTACCATATCCAATCAGCTACTAATCCAATCTCTTTTTAAATTCTTATTTCTTTCTAACTGTGATCTCTCCTCTGCAATACTTTTTAGTCAGTGTTAAAACGCTAAGTCTTCTTAAAATAGTACTTTGATCCTTGAGCTGGATGGAAAATCTCTGTTTGCTCCTTTGCAATCGTGTTTACCTTTTCTGCACACTTCCCTGTGCCCTGCAAAGTTAACTTCTGCAGATACCATCCACTAGTTATGATGTTCTTTAGCTTCTTTCAGTTTGCAGTGAGAGTCACCAACAGGAGATCAGGAATCAATAGGACAGAGAGGTGACCATATCTTTTATCCTGGCCACCAACAAGGGCTGGCTGTGGTTTGGTAGTTGTATTTCTCAAAGGACAGGAAGGATGGGGATCTCTGATATCTTCAGCTCTCTTCAAGTGCTGGCAATTATTTTCCCTCTTTCTTCTCCAGGTCTAATGTTGCTGGCATCTGTGTGTTTTTCCCTTAATCTTGTCCACATTTTTGTAAATAATCTCTTCTTTCAATTCTTTTCAATTATGTGTGCTTTCAATTGGTTCCTAATAAAATTCTGACTGATACAATAATCTTACTTCCCAACTAGGTACTTTGAAGTGTCTTCTTATGAGTTCCATTTTCCCATGCCTGGTCCCCATTAAATATAGTCCTAATCTATCTGTCTTGATTAATTTCTATTGCTCAGTTACATGAACCCTTTTCTCTAGCCAGACTACATAACTCACTCTGTCTGCCACATATCCCCTGTATTCCCATAACCAGACTTGACATGGGGGACTCAATTTGGCTGGATTGACCAGCCCCTTTTCTCTGAGATCTGCACTCTGTGTTCCTCATTAAACTATCAGCAGTTATGTTTCTGCCATATGACCCTCCTCTCGATCCATAAAATATTAGACCAGGAATGCCTACAAGATCCAAATTGGGCCAATCACTTCTTGTTCTCACAGACTTGGAATTTTAATAGAGTTGTTAGGACTAGATTCTGTTGGTAGTGGGAAAACATGAATAGCATTGGGATGAAAGAAGATCCACAATCAAATCATCCATCCTGTGCCCCACCCTTTTTTAGGTTTGATTTAAAAACACTTCCTAGATTTTTTTAGAGACGCTAGAATAGCTTCTTTAATAAGTTTGATTATGCTAATCAAGTTTTATTTATTTAACCAGAAAGCAAAAGAACCGCCCCTAACATATGAGGCAGTCAACATCTCTTTGCCTTGGAAAAACACCATGCCTCAATCCACATATTTAAAGCAATGGTCCGCAAAGTAGGTTGTAAGCCACAGAGGATGCACAAGACGTGTGTGAAAAAAAAAAATGAAATATTTATTTCGTATCAAAATGATTTAAAAATCAAGCTACATTCATATTTAATATTCAGATTAACATTGGTGCCCTCACTCAGTTGGCAGGTCAGCAGGCGAAGTATCCTCTATTTACATGGGACTCTAGGAGCAGAGTGGGAGCTTTATAAGATGAAGAGGTTGACAGTGGTATTCCCCCTTCTTTATTTGCTTTTAGAAAAAGTTAAAATATAATAGTCTATGTGTGCCTTGTTAGATTGGTTTAAATGCTAAGCTAAAGGCTAGAGTTTTTACAGAACATGACATGAGAAGGGACTTGACCATGCCTTATTTTGTAACATCCAAGAGGTTCACTTTTTATCTCATTGCAAAGTACTTAAAAGAGTTGTCAAGATAAAAGATAAGGTAAGCATTTTTATTTTAAAAAGATAAGTGTTCCAAATATACTCAATGTTTGGTGATAAAAAGTTGCTGTTAGTAGTATACTATCTAGCAGATATTTTGTAAAAAATTCAACTTCTACTGTTTTTTCAAGATAAAATATGATATTTTTAAAAATTCAAAGTACCTTTATTTTGAAAGAAACTCCTTTGAAATTGTGTATTTGTTAAAGTTTCTGTCAGTATGAGATTGTATTGCCAAGATAAGTTATTTACACGAATCTTAAATATAAAAATAGAAATTTGTAATCAGTTTTAAATTATCCAAATAATAGTATTATTAGGTGTCGAGCTGTTTGCTTAAAATATAAAAATGCAACACCTTACAAACGATTCAAGAACAATCTATCAACATCAGTTAGGTTAGAAAATTAATAGCTAATTTCAATTAAACACTTTTCATAATAGGAACAGAAAAATATGCATCAAAATGATCAAATATGGCCAGTTGTGAACTTCTCCAGTTGGGTCAATATACCTTTCTGAGCTATGACAGCCATCCCTTTAAAATAAAATGTTAAAATACACTGAACTTGGAACCAGAACTTTAGAATGTTATTCAAAAACAAATAATTAAAATTCATTTTTCAGTACAATGAAGCATTTCCAATAATATTTAGTAGGAACAAAGAGTTTTGAGGTATAACTAATAAAATTAAATAAAATAATTTAATGTGGTATTTATTTATTTTCATCATATACTTTATTCTTACTTATATGTTTTATTATATAGAAATATATTATTTCTGTGGTTCATGTATCTGATATATAAATGAATTAAATAACTGTATATCTTAATTTATACATTTATACATTATTTTATATTATTCATATTATACATTATTTTATATTATTCATTACATTAATATTTTATATTACTTTATAGTGTCAATTTATATATCATTTCATATAATTTAAAAAAATTATATCTTAAAAAGTCATATATTAATAATGTATGTTTGATAATAATGTGTTCATGACATATAATCATAGTGTATAAATAGACACGTTACTTATTATATAAAGGAATTATATAAATACTTATTTATAATTGCAGGTGTTCACTTTTTTTAACTATTAGGAAAATTGGAACAGAATATTTCAGAAATGTCAGCATTAGTGATGCACAGTTAGAGATAAACAAGAGTGGCTCTGAGTTGACAAATCAGTTTATATGCACTTGGGAATTTATTTTCTCTACTCTTATACACATTTTAAATTTCCAAAGAAAACTCCTTAAAGAAGGACATTTTTGTAATCAAAGCCATAATAAGTCAAACTTGTAAATGGAGGATAATTAAAGATTTTTCATTAAGGGAATAAAACATTTGAGGGATCATTAACATGATGATCCAAGTCAAGTCTGTCTTCCCCCATGAAGGCTTCTTCCGAACCCAAACCTCTCGGTTTTTTCTTTCACTGAATTCCTCTTAAAGCTCTTTGTATAATTACTTTTAAGAGTAATTCTACAGTTATGTATTTTCATATTTCCTTGTTTTTCATAAGCATTTATGTTATCACTTCAACTATTTTGCCAGTTCCTGGAGACAACCATTGTGTTTCATGGTTATGTAATATACCTTAGACCTTCTGTTCTTTCTTCATTCTCACTTGGCCTACACATATCCTGCTTAAATCCAACTACCCACCCATATAGGGGAGCATGGTTGGAAAGAAAGGCTTACTCAACTGGCTGATCTCACTTTGAATTCAAGGTCACTTATCTCAAATAAACTACAGTGTATTATCCTGATCCCTTAATTCTACTTTCCCTGATGACAATTTTTTCTTGGTAGCTGGACATGATGTATTGGTTAAAAGTAACTGACATTCATTGTCCTTTAGTAACATGGTGGTAAGGTGAGGGAGGTGGGGAAATGTTTTATCTATAGTCTTGTGAGTAAGTCTCAGTCTTTCAGTGAGCCTCTGCCTCTGGATTATGAACTTCACAAGTGCTTCTCAGTGTTTTCTCCCCTTAGGTGGGACAGGAGAACTGGAGTGGGCTGAAGTTGGGTATTTCCCTTCTTCCAGGTCCGTTAGGCTTTGATAAAACCCCAGCAGGTTTTTTCAAATAATTAACTATCAAATACTTTCTCTGAGGGAAGATCTTGTGTATCAGTCCATTTTCACACTGCTATAAAGAACTACCTGAGACTGGGTGATTTATAAAGAAAAGAGGTTTAATTGAGTCACAGTTCCACATGGCTGGGGAGGCTTCAGGAAACTTAAAATCATGGCAGGAGGTGAAGGGGAAGCAAGGCAAGTCTTACATGGTGACAGGAGAGAGAGAGAGAGATAGTGCAGGGGAAACTGCCACTTTTAAACCATCAGATTTCATGAGAACTCCCTCTGTCATGAGATACAGAACTATCATGAGAACAGCATGGGTAAATCTCCCCCATGACCCAATCACCTCCCACCAGGTTGCTCCCTCAACACATGGGATTAACATTTGAGATGAGATTTGGGTGTGGACACAGAGCCAAACTATATCATTTCCCCAAATGCTTAACTCATTCCAGCATTATCTCAAAAGTGCAAGTCCAAAGTTTTATCTTAGACAAGGCAAGTTCCTTCTGCCTATGAGCCTCCAAAATAAAAAAAAAAATTAAAAAAACCACTTAATTACTTCCAAAATACAACAGGGGTACAAGTATTGGATAAATGTTCCCTTTCCAAATAAGAGAAATCAGCCAAAATAAAGGGGCCATAAGCCCCATGAAAGTCCAAAACCTGGCAGGGCACTCATTAAATCTTAAAGCTCCAAAATAATCTCCTTTGACTCCATGTCTTACATCCAGGCCATGCTGATGCAAGGGGTAGGCTCCCAAGTCCTTGGGTAGCTCTGCCTCTGAGGCTCTGCAGGGTACAGCCCCTGCAGCTGCTTTCACAGGTTGGTATTGAGTGCCTGCCGCTTTTCCAAGCACAAAGTTCAAGCTGTTGGTGGATCTACCATTCTGGGGTCTGGAGGATGGTGGCTGTCTTCTCACAGCTCCACTAGGCAGTGCCCCAGTGGGTACTCTATGTTGAGGCTCCAACCCCACATTCCCCCTCTGCTTTGCCCGAGTAGAATTTTTCCATGAGAGCGCCACCCTTGCAGCAGACTTCTACCTGGACATTCAGGTGTTTCCATACATCCTCTGAAATCTAGGCAGAGGTTCCTGACCTCATGTGATCCACGAGGCTCAGCCTCCCAAAGTGCTGGGATCACTGGCATGAGCCACTGCGCCAGTCCAAACCTGCTTCTTTTACAGCCTTCCCCACCCAGTATATGGCAACTCCATTATTCTACTTGATAAGACCAAAAATCTTAATATTCATCTTCCTTTCACACTGCATTTTTAAGTTTACTTTCCACACAGCAACTAAAGTCATTCTGCTAAAAACTGTCAGATTATGTTACACACATGACCAAAATCCTTCTGTGGTACTCCAACTTTTGTAATTATACAATGGATTTTAATTGTAAATGTCTGTCAGAAAACCAAATAATTTAAAGGGTTTTCTTTCTACCATTTCCACTATTACTAGACAAAACATTCTATGCTGGTTCCCTGAAAGCACCACTAATAACTGTTGATATGGCAAGGCTGAGATCATTACTTGCTGCAGTAATGAAGAACATTGTCTTGAGAGAATTAGTGGAATCTCAGAAGGACAAGGCAACACTGAGAACTTTATGAGGCTTTTGGGTTTATAGTTTAAGGTATCTTTCAATGTACGGGTTTACTTATAATGGAAGAATCATGAGGCAACAGTGTAGGATTGGTGATAGAGCCAGACTCAGATTTTGAGAAGAGGGTGTCAGGGAGAGTCTTAGCACATAAATAATTGTTTAATGTTTTCTGTATATGCAACATTTATTTTGCGGGGCAATTGTTTCTGGAAATTAGTCATGAAAATGAAAATAGTAACAAGTGAAGAGATGCCATATTAAGATAGCCAATTGCAAAGTCATGCAAATGATGACAACAGTCTATGTGAGTATAGATCTTTTCAGTTCTCAGTAGATACCTTTCCCTCCCAGCAGCTATCCATGCCCACCATCTGAAGTCAGAAAATTAGAGACTCTTCCTATGAATGCATAGAACAGATCAAATATGGAGAACTGGGTTGATTCACATATTATCAGCCCTGTTTGGTCATTAAAAATATTAAAATATCTAAATGCTAATGATTAACACTGTTTATTGACTAAATTAAGTCAACTATCACTATATTTGTGTCAGAGAAATATATAATCAAAATAGTAATTTAACTGAGCATCAATAGCTTTAATATCAAGAATGCAACATCTGCTTATGACTTGCATTGTCACTACCCTGGCCCAAGCCACCGTGATATCTTTTAACGCTTATCGCAATGGCCTCTCATTGTCTACTTGCTTACACCCTTGCCCACTCTTCTGTCTATCCTCCACAGAGCAGCTAAAGTAATCCTTTTGAAAACTGTCAGCTTATGTTACACCATGACCAAAATCTCTGCCTGGTTTTCCTCATTTCTCAAAGTAAAAGTCAAGTTCTCCACCACGGCCTACAAAGCCCTCTTCAATCTGACTACTCATTAGCTCTCTGATTTCATCTCCTATTGCTCTCATGCCTTCTTCTGCTCCAGGCATACTGGTCTCCTTGCTGTTTCTGGTCCCTGTCAGTCCTGCTTGCTCCAACCTCAGAGCCTTCCCATGGGCTGTGTCCTCTTCCTGGAATGCAATACCCTATGCACCCATACATACACATTCCTTAACCTCTTTCTCGATTGTATTTTTTCCCAGAGCATTTAGCACCATTTAATACAATATGTACCTAGGTATTTATCTGGCTGTCTGTCCTCCTCCACCACTAAAATATAGGATCTATGAAGACAGAAATCATTTTATTTCTGAATTGAAAATTATTTTACATATAATTAATGGCTTATAAAATCAGACCATTCAACAAATGATACTTTAAGCCTTATATAGTCACAAAATGCTACATAAATATTATAAAAAATGAATGAATCATTCCTTTTGTATGTTTTTATGGTCTTATTCATGCCTCTCTTGTAATGCTCAGTGCATTCATTAAAGTAGTTGTATTCATATTTATCTTTTTGTTATAATAAGATATCTCTGATGATAAGGACATACTTTATTCACATTTTTATAGTCAGATCCTATCATCGAACTTGATATTTAATAAGTAAGATGTATTGGAATTGGACCCCTCTTTCATGATTTGTTTATTTCTACATTTGAGGGAGAAAATAGGCATTAAAAAGTAAATGTTAAAATCTCCCCACCACTCTGCAATATAGGAAAGCCAAATGAAGTCAAGCTTATATTGCTATGCTGATTACACACTCCACTGAGTGAAGAAATTGTTTCTGTTCTTTCTCGCCATGTGTCCCTATGGCTGTTATTGACAACTCCCCCATCTCACTACTTCTCTGTGGTTGGGCCTTTCTGACTTGACTTTATTTCTCATATCAAAAGATAAATTTAAAAGATAAAGAAAATGACAGACACACAGATAGGAACAAGAGAGAAAAGTAGAACAGCAATGAAGTAAAGAAAGAGAGAGAAAGGGAGGGGAGTCCAGGGTAGAGCAGGGAGAAGGATAGTGTGGGTCTGGGGACATTTGCATAGACATCTACATCTACATGGTACAGCCATGATGCCGCAAGGAATCCAGGGTCAGAAATAAGGTCTAGAAGGTGATTGTCTTAGCCCATTTTTGTATTGCTATAACACAATATCATAGACTAACTTATAAAGAAAATTAAATTATTTCTCACAGTTTTGGAGGCTGGGAAGTCTATTATCAAGGTGCTGGCATCTGGAGCTTTATGTCACATTATCCCACGGCAGAAGGTGGAAGGGCAAGAGAGCAAGAGAGAGCAAGAGGTCAAGCTCAGAGCCTCAAGCCCACCCTTTTGTAATTGGTATTAACCCATTCATGAGGGTGGAGTCCTCATGATCTAACACTTCCCATTAGGGCCCACCTCTCAACATTGTTGCATTGGGAATTCAGTTTCCAACACATGCTTTTTAGGGGACACATTCAAACTATAGCAGTGGTCACATTTAAACTGAGGTGCCAAGAAACCATCAGAGGGAGGAATGCCATAGGGAAGAGGTCAAGAGAGATTAAATAACACCTTCTACATTTCACAACACCTTAAATACTGAGAGGCCTAAATTTTGGCATATGTTTCTTGAAGCTTAAGTGACTGAATGGAAATGGTTTGAATAAGATGGTCACTTTGGTGTTTTTTTTTTCTCTTTTTGGAATGTAAATTATCTGTGTTTTGAAATACGCTTTTAAATTTCTGTTTTTCTAAAAGGTAAGCTAAAGTTTAATGTTGTTTGTTTCATTGTTGCTTTGTTTGGAAAGGAGTCCAAGGGATACCAAAGCTTGTTTTAAGTAAGATTATTTTATTCACTAGTGTTATTTTTGCCTTATTTTAATGTATGAAACATTTTCACATTAAACATTTAATCAGTGACCCTAAAATAAAGGAAAACATCAACCTAAATGTCAGTAAAAAGAAATGGCAGTTTTTCGGTGAAAATTTTGCTTATAAATGTTAAATGTGAGAATGATATGCTTTGGTTTTTAAAAGTATCTCATCCTCTTTCACCTTTATTATTACTATAATCTATAACAGTTCAAAGACTTTTCAGTCATTTGAATTAGTCAAATTCAGACAAAGAAATCTTATGAATATTGGTCATTAAAATTTCACCATTTTACCAATACTAAAGTAATTTTAGAACTAATATTATGACATTTAACAAAACATCCAGGTGTAACCTCTGGGTTCTTTATCATGTGTTCTCTTTTAGAATTATTAATTTTTTAATATTGGTTTAATAACTCTCAGGATTGTTAATTTTGTACTACAAGAAATGAATTTGGAATGGTAGCAGAAAACCAGATTTTTAAGTCTCTTAAATTAGTAGGAATTGAAAAATTTTTAAAA
Source organism: Homo sapiens (assembly GCF_000001405.40). Lineage (NCBI taxonomy): Eukaryota > Metazoa > Chordata > Mammalia > Primates > Hominidae > Homo > Homo sapiens. The sequence goes on from NC_000004.12 coordinate 157,790,091, forward strand.
AACAATCTTAATCATAAAACTCTAATAGAGGTGTGAAAAAACTAGCTTTTCTTATGTGACTATAAGCTACTTTTGAATTAGAATGTATTACAATTAATTCAAATTTTTTCATTTTTCTTATAAAAAAAAGACAATGTATACTATTTCTTTCCTAATCCCTTCCTCTATCCCTGCTAAAATATGAAGAGCAAAAAGTGTTATGTGAATTGTGATTGAGTATTTGAAATTAATAGCTCCATTAGTTTCCATTAGGCATCTGGAAATATTTAGAACTACAATTATTTTTCAAATATGTTGAAGATTTTTATTATAGTGATGAAGAAGCTAAAAGCATCAAAAAACCTTTAAACAGGGCTTGATTATAATAAGAGCTAACACTAAGTGTTTGTAAGTAGCAGACAATAGCCTACATATTTTGCATGTACTATCTTTTTAAAAAATCATGCTGTTTCAGGATTTGAATTCAAGGTTGTCTGATTCCAAAAGCTAAGCTTTCAACTACACTGTAGTTGAAAACAATAGTACATAGTAGTATTTGTTCAAAATGTTTCCTGCTCCACCTACAGGGCCCCTTGCTATAGAGAACTATACCTTCCCACCTCATTGACTTCAGTTTGTCATGAGACTGGCTTTGGCAAATGGACTATGAGAATTGACATGCATCATTTCCAAACAGTATTTCAAGCCATCACATGGTTCTCCACCTTCTTATTTCTCCTTTCCCTTGAGCCTAGCAGTGTCTCCAATGGGGCTGTTCCTGCGACCTAGGTCTCAGGTGATGGTGACACTGAGCCAGGCTCCTGAGAGTATGAACATGTAACGTAAGTGAGAACTCATGGTTCCTCGTTATATGCCAATGAGATCTGGGGTCATTTTTGGTTACAGCACAAATGAGTCTACCCTGACTGACACCTACACTATTCTCTTGTGCCTCTATTTGCTTATTCCTCCCTCTATGTAGATAAATTTATTTGAAATGTAAATTTTTTCTTTATTGTCAATAAACTAGAACAAATCAAAATTTTCTTCACTGCAAAACATTTTGAATACATCATAAAATCCTTGGTAAGCTCTGTAAATATACAACATAATTAAATTATGAAAGCATGAGAATTATAAAATGCCACTCTGGTTGGATCCTGCACAAAATGCATATCAAGTAGAAGAGCAAATACTTTTCAGAGATTATTTTCCATTATCCACTGTTAATAACACCTCTCTTGGTACTGGCTAAACCATATAAACTCTGTCTGCAAGCACATTTTAAAACAGATTCTGTTGACAGGTGCAGCTCTGAAGACTACTTCATCTTCAGTGAAATTACACTGCTCTCCCACTCACATTCCTTCTTTTAAAATGGTACTTACACCCACTGTTGCCGGATGCTTTTATTATGCAGTGATTCAGCTAGTTTTTAATCTCTTGGCCTTTTCAGTAGGATGGTAGAATCACAGGAATTAGAGATGAAAATTATCAATTGCTTTTTTCATTTACATTGTTATACTTAAAAGTCAGCAACTTCCCAACAACATAGTTGAATAAGAAAGGATAGACCAAAATCCTCTGCCACGGATAATGAACTACCTACAGACCTGAGGGTGGGGGTGTGTTTTCTTTAGAAGAATTACCTGGTAAATATCACTATATCTTTTATATTTTAAATTTACTCTCTTTTGGCTCAGCATGTATCCATTGACTTTATTTTGGTTAAATGTGTTGAAAAACAAGATAAACATCCATGAATTTTTCATTTGCAACCATTTATGTGTATAAGAAGTAACTTATTGATCTCCTAATTGAACAGTCATTGCTCACTCTCTATCAGACATGTCCTGCTATTTACCACTGTCCAGGATCTGACCCCATGTCAGACTTGAGAAACTTTGCAGACAAGGGCACTGTTTCTGTGGTTACAGAAGTCATATATAAAATGCCTGTATACAGACTAAATGGAAAGTTCAGGCACAATGTAAATAGACCTTAAATGATCACCGCAGCCTCTTCTTTTGGGCCAGACCTAGCAAAAGCAGTTTATCACCTCCTGTGCTATGGCGTAGGGCCCCAAAATTGACTTTTTTGGGGGATGTTTTAATAAAATTGAGACAAACAATAGTATGGCCTTGATAATACAGATAAATTTAGAAAGTATGTACCTTTTTTATATAAGCAGATTTGGGCATTTTTCAATGGTTATTTCATGGTTAAGGATAGTAAATGTAATTCTAGGGAATTTCAGTTGAAGGAAAATTAATTACAGTTATTGAAAAGTAGGTCAAGACTTACTACTGATCACATGCCTCTTATTTTAAACGGAGTAATGCAAAGTAGCTTATAGAGACCTACATGTGAATTTTCCCTTTATTGTGCTATTTATTTTACTTGGAGTTTTAAAATATCTATCTTGACCAGTACTTTTCAATAGAACTTTCTGTAATGATGGAAATGCTCCAGTTCTGGGCAGTCCAATATATAGCCACTAGCCACATGTGCCTAACAAATGCTTGAAATCTGGCTAGTGCAAATGTGAAAATGATTTTTAAATTTTTTATAGATCCTGTGTAGATGTAGATGTGTAGATTATATGTAGACACATCTATATGCAGCTACTGGGTACCACATTGGACCATCAGGTCTAGACCACACATTACCTAAATTCTTAGAATCACAGAACTTTACTGTTGAAAGCATTTTGCAGAGTTTCCAATCTAAGCTCTCTCTTCTGTTACTCAACCATTGGAGAGGTATTTGATGTTATGTTTGGAAAGGGTCTGCTGACAACTATAGTTGCTTTCTCTACCTAATCACTGCAGGCAAGGCCAGAATCCAATACCTTCTGGGTTTCATTCTTGCTAACCACAAAACTGCATTTGTGAACCACAAAACAGCTCAAGTTTTTGTCATTATCCTGTTTAAAACCTTTTGTAGGCAAATGGTACCATTTAATAGTGAATAATAAACATCTGTCAGAATGCTACAAATCATTTGACATAATGTTGATTGGCCTTAGAATTCACACAGGCATCAATACAAAAACTAAGTTGGGTATGAGTATGTATGATAGGGAAAAATGAAAGCAGAAAACATTACTTCCACAGAAACATTAGAAATGCTTTCTTTGGCACTTGAACCCATGACTTATTTTTGTCCCTTCAGTCCTGAGCACAGCGAATTCTCATTGGTAGATGATCGATAAATGTGATACGAACTTACAGAACTTAAGTGATTGCATTAAGAAAGCTGAATGGTATCTTAATGACTGGCATCTTGCCCACAAGAGATTGGTCAGTGAGCTTATTATTTCACTGGTTTTTGTCTCTGATTTTTAGGTGGGATCACCTGGCTAACTTAAAAATATCCAGGTCCAACTATAGGAGGAGTGGGGGCCAAGTCACACGTAGCTTTTAAAAGCTTCCCAGGTGATCCTAACAAGCAGTAGAGTTGAGAAACACTGATTTATTTAGTAAATTATGGTAAAGTTCAGATGTAATTCAGAGTCAAGATTAGGCTTGACTCTAATCAATTTAAAACCTTAGAATATATCAAACAAGAGTAGCTGAACTAATGAAAACACATTACTAAAAACAGAAAGATAAAACAGTCAAGCAAAAGGCAAAGATAAAATTAGTCAATTCTATTCTCCACGGGTCTTCACGTGTCTATAGACATGCATGAGAGACTGAGAAACCCCATGTGACAGAATCCAGTTTTAATGACATGGATTATAATAAATCCTGAGAGAGAAATCACTTTTCTGAACGAAACAAGGAGTTTAGTCCAAAGAACTGGATTTCACAATGGAACTTTGGCAGAAGGGAAGGAAAGGTGTGTACATATATGTAGTTGATATTTGAATAATAATGAAACTTATCAATAATTGTTGCCATTTCTATAATGTCTACAACGAGGCACGCACTATTCCAAGTTCTGTGAAGCTATTTTCATTCTCATTCCATAGAGAACTTCTGAGTTGTTTTAGTGTCAGGATAGAAAAAGATTGATCTAGACAGGCGTGAGAATCAGCAGGAATCTGTACCATGAAGAGGCCACTCTGGAGACGGTAATAGAGTTTCGAGTCCTTTGTCTCACTGAGATTTCTTCCCCCATTACCTGCTTATCAAAATCCTTTTTATCCATGGAGGCAAATTTTGGAAATCAAAAAATAATTCTTAAATATATTAATAAAAATTTAGTTAAAAATTAATTTGAAAACAGAGGCCACACTTTCCAAATATAAGAATGAATATCTGAGTAAAAAAAGCGGTTGATAATGAGTGCAACACACTAATGTAGCCATGATCCTTTATTTGTAAAACAAAGACAGTTTAGAAAATATCTACTTACCACTTATACAATTTAAGTAAGAACTATATGCTGTATCTATTAGTTACATAGTTGAGTTTCTCACTTGATTTCTTTTCCAAAAAGAAAGAAATTTCCAATAAATTAGAGAGATGTGTTTAAAAGCCTCCTACCCTAAACTGGGTACTTACTGCTTTGAGATTATATTTGTTATAGAAAATATTTTTGGCAGATAATTATATTTCTTCATTTAAAGTCAAAGAAAATAGATATATTTTCAAAACCTAATGTCTTGAATACATACACATATATATGCATCAAATAAATGTTTGCTGATTTATATAACAAATAAGGAAGACATTCTACAGAAGTTGAAATTTGGGGTGGCTTAGTAGTGCAGGAATGTATGAGACAAATATGGGGAACTGTATGTATACATGTTTTTGTGAGTTTGAAAAACGAGTTTTTAGCTTTGTTAGTGAGAAATCACACAGATGAGATAGTATCATTTCTCCAGATCTATTTTGAACAAAGTAAACCCAGGACAAAATCTTACAGAATAACTACACTCTCTACTGATATATTTCATGAAGACTACAGTCAGTAGTAACATTGAAGGAAATTTATTAGATATAGATGTGAGAATTCTGAAAGTAAAAACAAAGGTTAAAAGATTAGTGCTTATTATTTACAATCATTACTCTTTTCCTTATGTATAAAATAAAACATTCCTTGATAAATATAGTCAGTCAATCAGCTGCCTTTCTGTTGGACCGTGCACCAGTTCTAATGCTGCATAACAAATAGTAGTTTCATTCGTTTATGGAGAGAAGGAAATTTGGGGAACAATTTTGAGAATTGTGGAGTGAATTACTCCATTCCCCAGATTTAGAAAACAAATTTGATGGCACATATTTAAGTAAATATATATAACTTTAATTTTGGAGCTTCATTATTAATGCTCTATAATGTAAGATTCTGATTTCGTGTATTTTCAGATAAAAACAAAAAAAAGTAAATGGGAACAACAGTTGAATTCTCTATATATGCAAAAATAGATTAGAAATTGCAGGGATTTATTTAAAGCCTTGCATGATGTTTCCATTTTTGGAGAATTAAAATAATGCAAGATAAATCTCTTTTATGTCTGATGAACAATATTATTGCTCTATTTGCATTTTGGATTATAGATGGAAAAGAAAACTATGTATTTGCCTAAGACTTTCCAAAGAGTAAATGAAGAGCCAAGAATAAAATGTCTTTTATTCATGATTCCAAATCTCTTTCTTCCTCTGCTTGACAAGATGACAAGCCTCCTTCTAGACCAATTATGTAACTCTCATCAATTCAAATAAGCAATAGTCTAAGAATGCATATACACTACAAATTTAAAATGCATTATTCCAAAACTTGTATTTTTCATTTTTTGGAAATAACTTATTGGTAAAAATTCACAGAAAATAATGCAACATATTAGACTTTTCTGAATAACCAAACGATTCCAGATGTATAAACACAGCCTTGATTAAAGAGCACACCCCGAAATTCAAACTTTCATTGCTTTTAAATAATCTTTCTGGCAATAAACGTTATGCAAATATAGGCAATGAGGAAAAGTCACTTCTGAAAACTGCTGTGTGCATTTAAGTAAAGAGCTATTGAATGCAGAAATGTGCTTTCCTGATTCTACTAAATGATTTCTTTCTAGAAACTACAAAGTCAGGATGCTGATACACTTAAGAACATTGATTACAATTCAAAGCAAACTGAGATAGCAAGTGAAATTTTATACAGATTTTACAGATCATAATTTAATGATTCACAGACACTTTAAAACATATTTTTGGACTTGCCTCACTTTTTCTAAAAGTTCCTAATTCTAGAGAATGAGCTCCTTCTTCCTGTTTCCTTGTGTACTAAATCGCTATTCAGGCTTCTCTTTATTCATCAAAGATAAACAGATGGACTCCCCAACGGGGAAGCTGCTTTGAAAATTGAAGCCCCATGGGAAGAATTTCCTATATGAACCTTAAAAAAATTGAGTTGCCTCCACCGAAGAAATTATGATGTGTATGTGCTCCCCAGTTTTGCAATCTCGGTTCAAAGAGCTATGTTTGGCTTTTGAGTAATCATTCTAGTAAGAAAAATCTGCATCTGAAAAATACATTCCATTTCTTCTTTTCTAGGCTAGAAAAACCTCACTGCCCCCCACCCCCACAAAATGCAATGATTCATTCATTGACTATGTCCCCACAGTGGAAGTCAGGTTCCTTTGGGGCCCAGACAGGTAAAGAAGATAAGAGAAGCAGAAAGGTATAATCCTTCAGAGGTGGTGGTTACTGTGGTAATCTGCCCAAAACCATTCACATTTGGAAAATAAAATAATAATGGTCAACCAGTATGTGATCTACTAAAAAGCTTAATTTAAAATTGTAGATAAAATAGATACAAATAAACTTCCAATTTTTTTTTCAAATCCCAGTGTATCATCTCCATCTCCCCACCATGTGAGGACCCCACTTTGGCAAAACTCTGCTCCAGACTTCCTCCGTAGGCTAAATACGTTTCTTATGACTTCTTCTTCCTCTGAGTAAGACATTCTGTCTTTGGACTCTCTACAGCAAAGGGATACATGAGACTTATACAAGCAATTTTAGGTATAGTCCCCAGACAACATAACAAAATTTGAAAATCAATGTTTTACTTTAGGCCACTGACCCAAGCAATGATTTTTCTTTTTATTGCCCGCAAATTCAAGGATTTTTGAGCACTATAGCATCTATGTTAGACACTGTGACCATATAACCCAAAACCACCTCGTTTTTTTCCACTCATTTTCTCTCACTTCCTTCTCTTTATTTCCTTTATTCCTTGCATCTTTTTTACTAAGAAGAGAAAGTCATATTTACTAAATTTTCATTTTTCTATATGGTATTTGATTATGGAAAAGTAAACACATACTGATCCTTATGTTTAATATAACATAAACACAAATATATTTAGGGTTTTTATGTCTTGTTTATAGAATATAGATTTTGTATTCTTTAATTTCTTAAAGTTTTTGTCTTATTTTCCAATGTATTAAAACATTTGAATACTAAGAAAATATTCCAGGAACTTGTTCTTTTTCTATTTTAAAAAAAGTTTTCTGTCAACTCTATTAAGCCATATTTTATACACAATAAAGTGCATGCATTTTAAGCATACATATTGATTGCTTTTGACACTGGATACAACACAATCAAGAAACAGAACATGTCCCTTGAGCCCTTTTGCAGTAAGTATCCCTATGTTGCAACCCTGGCTCCAGTAAACAATGATCTTCTTTCTGTCACTAAAGATTAGACTTACATGTTATAGAATTTCATACAATTGAATTTCAATACTGTATACTCATTTGCATCAGGCTTCTTTCTCTCAGCAAAACATTTTTATGCGTGTTGAGATATATGCATGTTGCATGTATCAGAAGTTTATTCTCTTTTTATTTATAAATAATATTCCATTATATGCACCACAATATATTTATCCATTGCATGTACAACAGTTTGTTTATATATTCACTTGATAGATATTTGCCCTGTTTCCATTTTGGAACTAATATGAATAAAGCACTTAATCCATCCACCTGTTGGTTTCCAGTTCTGGGCTGAAACACTTGTGCAAACACATATTGTCATCTCTATTGGATAAATACTTAGGAGTGGAATGGATGGATCACATGGCAAGCATAGATCACCGATTGTTTTCCATCCTGGCTGTACCACGTTACCATCCACCAGGAACGTATGAGAGTCACAGTTGTGCCATATACTCTCCAATACTTGCTATTGTCAGTCTTTTTAATTGCAACTATTCTATTAGCTGTGTACTGGTATCCTATAATAGCTATACTTTATAGTCCCTAGTAAACAATGATATTGAGTATCAATTATGTATATAACAACATATGCATTATTTCACCTACAAAGTTAGTGATATGGTTTGGCTCTGTGTCCCCACCCAAATCTCATCTCGAATTGTAATCCCAACATGTCAGGAGAGGGGCTTGGTGGGAGGTAACTGAATCATGGGGGTGGACTATCCCCTTGCTGTGCTCGTGATAGTGAGTGAGTTAGCACAAGATCTGGTTGTTTGAAAGTGTCTGGCACTTCTCCCTCTACTCTCTCTCTTTCCTGATCTGCCATGGTAAAGACATGCTTGCTTCTCCTTCTTCTGCCTTGATTGTAAGTTTCCTGAGGCTCTCCAGTCATGCAGAACTACGAGTCAATTAAATCTCTTTTCTTTATAAATTACCCAGTCTCAGATAGTTCTTAATAAAAGTGTGAGCAGTGTGAGAGTGGACTAACACAGTTAGAAAGTGTAATCTTAAACTAGTAACTTACAGATATCAGTGCCAAAAAGGCTTCAACTTTTTACCATTTTTTCATGACAAAATTTAATACAGAATATATTAATCCTTTTGTATAAATTATTTAGAGATTTATCCATTTTGATAATTTGTCTTTCCAATAATTTTAAAATTTTCTCTAATTTGTCAAAACTATTGACATAGTTACTCATAATATTTTCTTAGAGTCTTGTTAATAGCTGCAAGATCTGAAGTAATGCTCTTTCTTGTCTTTTTGATACTAATAATTTGTATTTTCACTCTTTTGTTTTTACCAGTCTAACCAGAAATTTATTTTAAGCTTTTAAAAAATTATTTGGCATAACTGACTTCATTATTTACTTGTTTTCTATTTCATTAATTTCTACACTCACCTTTTCATTTCTTTTTTGTTGTTTTGTCTGTTTCTTTTTATCTTATTTCTTTATTCCAGTAACTTCGAATTTGATTTTTCTTTTCTTTGTCTCATTTCTTTAGATGTCAATATAGAATATTGTAGACCTTTCTTTTTCTCTAATATAATCATTTAAAGCCTTAAATGTCCCTCTAAGCATTGTTTTAGCTATATCTTACAAATTTGACATTGTATGTTTTTCTTTTATTCAATTCAAAATACTTCATACTATCTTTGTGAATCTCCCTTGACTTGTGATTATTTAGAAGTATACTGATTAATGTTAGAGTATTTGGGAATTTTCTAGATACCTTTCTGCTGTTAATTTAAAATTAAATTTTATCACATATAGAATATAATTTCTATTATGTGCAGAACATAATTTGTACAGTTTCAGTCTTTTAACTTTCTTAAAACATGTTTTACAGAACAGTACAGGGTCCATCTTGGTGGGTGGACCGTCTGCAATTGAGAAGAATGTATATTCTTCTGTTGCTGAATAGAAAATTCCACAAATATCAATTAACTTACATCGATCAAACCTTCTTTACTTTTATTGATTTTTAACATTGACTTGTTCTGCCAATTACTGAGAGAGAATTGTTGAATCTCCACAAATAACTGTGTATTTTTAATGGTGTTTTCAGTACAGTCACCTTTTGCTTCATGCATTTTGAAGTTCTATTATTAGGGGCATACACAATTAGGGATACATAGATACATGCTGAAAATATATATGAATTTTATATTTTTTAACTAACCTATATGTGCCTTGATATTTGAAACATGTATCTTGTGGCCAGCATATAATTGGGTCTTGCAATTTTATCCAGCATGGAAATCTCTTCCTTTTAATTGCAGCCTTTATTCCATTTTCCTTCATCTAATTTACAGATATCATTGAGATTAAAGCTATTACTTTGTTATTTGTTGTGTATTTATACCTCTGCTATTTTTCCTCTTTCCCTCTCTTTTTGACATCTTGATAGCTTTTTATATTCCATTTTATTTTCTCTGATTCACTATAACAATCACTTTGTTTCATTTTTAGCTGTTGTTCTAGGGTTTTAGGATTTGTCCATCTTTAACTTGTCACATTGACTTCAAATAATGTTATACAACTTCACATGTAATATATTAAAAGTTACATATAATTACATCTCCTATTTGTGCTTTTGTTTTTATACATGTTATACATGTTACAAACTTCACAATACACTCTATTATTTTTGTTTTAAAGAGTCATTTTTTATAAAGATTAAAAATAAAAAAATGACTCAATGTTATTTTTAGTAACATATTCACCAATCACAACACTATTACTTTCAGTAAATCCAAGTTTCCATCTGGAATCATTGTCCTTACACCTGAAGAGTTCTATTTATTGTTGTCTGAAGTAAAAGTCTGCTAGTGACAACTTCTGCATTTGTTTGTTTTAAAAATCTTCTTTTGGTCTTTATTTTTGAAGTACATTTTTGCAGAGTATGGAACTCTAGATCGATATTTTTTTTCTTTTAACAGTTTGAAGATGTTATTTTTTAAAAAAATTCTTTAGTTTTAGGGCTACAGGTAGTTTTTGGTTACATGGATGAGTTCTTTAGGGTAAATTCTGTGATTTTAGTGCACCCATCAAACACGCAGTGTATGCTGTATCCAATATGTCGTCTTTTATCCCTCACTCTCCCCAATTCTCCCACTGAGTCCCCAACGTCCATTATATTGCTCTGTATGTTTTTGCATCCTCATAAGGTAGCTACCGATTGTAAGGAGAACATACAGTATTTGGATTTCCATTCCTGAGTTACTTCACTTAGAATAATGGCTTCCAGTTCCATCCAAGTTTCTGCCAAATACATTATTTTGTTCCTTTTTATGGCCGAATAGTATTCTATGGTATAAATATACCACATTTTTTTATCCACCCATTGGTCAATGGGCACTTAGGTTAGTTCCGTACCTTTGCAATTGCAAATTGTGTTGCTATAAACATGCATGTGCATGTGTCTTTTACATATAATGACTTCTTTTCCTTTGTGTTGATACCCAGTAATGGAATTGCTGGATGAAATGGTAGATTTACTTTTAGTCCCTTGAGGAATCTCCATACTGCTTTCCATAGTGATTGTACTAATTTACATTCCTACCAGCAGTGTGAAAATGTTCCCTATTTACCACATCCATACCAATATCTATTGTTTATTGACTCTTTAGTTATGGCCATTCTTGCAGGAGTAAGGTGGTATCTCATTATGGTTTAATTTGCATTTCCCTGATAATTAGTGAGGTTGAGCATTTTTTCATATGTTTGTTGGCTGTTTGTATATTTTCTTTTGAGAAACGTCTATTCGTGCCCTTTGCCCACTTTTTGATAGGATTGTTTTTGTTTTTTCTTGCTGATTTGTTTGAGTCCCTTGTAGATGCTAGATACTAGTCCTTTGTCAGATGTCAGATGCACAGCTTGTGAATATTTTCTCCCACTCTGTGGTTGTCTGTTTACTCTGCTGACTATCTGCTGTGCAGAAGCTTTTTAGTTTAATTAGATACTACTTATTTTTGTTTTTCTTGCATTTGCTTTTGGGGTCTTAGTCATGAAGTCTTTCCCTAAGCCAATGTCCAGAAGAGTTTTTCCAATGTTATCTTCTAGGATGTTTATGGTTTCAGGTCTCAGATTTAAGTCTTTGATGCATCTTGAGTTTATTTTTTCATAAGATGAGAGATGAGGATAGAGTTTCATTCTCCCACATGTGGCTTGCCAACTATCCCTGCACCATTTGTTGAATAGTGTGTCCTTTCCCACTTATATTTTTGTATGCTTTGTTGAAGATCAGTTGGCTGTAAGTATTTGGCTTTATTTCTGGGTTCTCTACTCTGTTCCATTGGTCTATGTGCCTACTTTTATACTAGTACCATGCTGTTTGGGTACCTATAGCCTGGTAATATAATTTAAAGTTCAGTAATGTGATGCTTCAAGGTTTGTTCTTTTTGGTTAGTATTTCTTTGGCTATATGTACTCTTTTTCTGGTCCCATATGAATTTTAAGATTGTTTTTTCTAGTTTTGTGAAGAATGATGGTAGTATTTTGATGGGAATTGCATTGAATCTGCAGATTGCTTTGGCCAGTATGGTTATTTTCACAATATTGATTCTTCCCATCCATAAGCATGGTATGTGTTTTCTTTTGTGTCATGTGTGATTTCTCTTAGCAGTGTTCCATGGTTTTCTGAAGATGTTATTTAATTATTTTCTGTCATAGGTTATCTTTTTCCTTCTCTAAATAATTTGCATTTTATATTCTGACTTGTGTAAGAGATTTTCATTCATTGCTAGTATTTAATAATTTGATTATGATGTGCTTATAGCTTTTTCTGTTTTTGCTTTTGAGAATTGGTGGGGTTGTTTTTTTGTCTGTTTGCTGTTTAGCTCAACTGAAATTCATTGAGCTTCTACAAAGTGAGTATATGTTGTATTTACCAATTTTGGAATAATTTAGGCTAGAATTTCTTTAACCTTTTTCTGGTCCCTCATTTTCTTTCCAGGACTCCAGTGATACATACATTGGACTGTTTCATATCATTACAAGTAATTGAGACACTGAGGCAGTATAAAAAGTTAAGGAGACACTGTTCATATTTTCTTGGTCTTTTCTGTCCCCATAAGAAAGTCAGTTTAGAAAAATTTGAGATCCATGTCTTCAAGTTTATCTATCTTATCTTCTACAGTGTCTTGCCTAGTGTATCTTTAACTTCATATAGTGCCTAAGTTAAATAAAAATCTAGATGTTCTATTTGGTCCTTTTATATATCTTTAATTCCTCTCATCATTATTATTTTCATGTTTTTCTTTAAACAGTCAAGCATATTTATCATAGTTGTTTACAAAGTCCTGTTTATTAATTCTATTATTGTTATCATCTTGGGATCTGTTTCTATTCACTAAATTTTCTCCCGTTTATGGGTCATGTTTTTCCATGTTCTCAATAGTAATTCTTGATTGAATGTTAGATATTGTGTATTTTACTTTTTCTATCACTCTTTAAGGAAAGTTGGATTTTAATCCGCTAATGTATGTTATTTCTGGATCAGCTTGGTTCTCTTAAGGCTTGTTTTAAGTTCTGCTAACAAGTCTAGAGTAGCTATTATTCTAAGGCTAGTTTAGACATGAGTTAATGATCCATATTTAGATATTTACTATGGCAGCACCTCACTTCCAGGTTGTTATTTATTGCAGCATAACAAATTATCCCAGAACATAGAAGCTTAAAAACGCAGAGATATTTATTATCTGACAATGTCTGTGGGAAAGGAACCTGGGCACAAATTTCCCCGGCTCTCTGTTTCTCCTAAGGCTGTAATCCAACTGTCATCAGAGCTCTAGCCATTTCAAAGATTGAAGGTGAGAGGATCCTCTTTCCAGATGACTCCAGTGGTTCATCACAAGATTTAGTTGCTTATGAGTTGTTGTTGGCTGGAGATCTCCCTCAGTGTCTTGCCACATGGTTCTCTTCATAATGCAGCTCACAATACGGCAGCTAGATTCCATCAGAACAAGTCAGCAAGAGAGAAGGCAAGTAAAATGTAAACCAGCATTGTTTTGTTTTCTAATATAATCTCAAAAGTAACATCTCATCACATTTGCTGTATTCTATTCTCTACAAACAAGTTCTATGTCCCACTAGCACTTGATGGGAAAATATTACAAAAGTTCATGAATATTAAGAGGTCTGAATCATTGGAAGCATCTCAGAAACTGCTTACAACACTTAACAACAGTTACTAAGGAGTAACTGTCATTAGGTATCTACAGGATACCCTTGATGTTCAGATGAAGACTTGGCAGTCTGAGTGGTCAGACTTCAACATTACCCAGTGAGCTCTGGGAATTGTTTGGTACACAACTCCTACATTATTTTTTTGCCTGACCTCATGGAGTTAATCCCCACATAAATTTTGCTTAATATTTAGCAACAGCCTCAAGGAGATCCTTATATGGATTTCTGGAGCTCTGCAGAGCTCCCTTCTCTCTGACATTAAATCCTCTAAACTGTAGCCAGATCTGCCTCCCCCTGCTCTGCTCTGTTTTTCATTAGTGAGACCCTTATGTTCTGTTTTGTATTCCCATCCCACACTGTGTTCTAGAGAGTGCCTCCAGGCAGAGAGCAAGGGCAATTGTAGGCCTCTCCTCATTTGTTTCCCTTATCTCACAGGTCATAGTTCACACTGACTGTTGTCCCACTTTTGGACACAGATGTGTTATCTATTATGCTTAGTTTTCTAGATATTTATGGGCAGATGGCAAGTCTAGTCCCAATTACTGAAACACGACCACAGCAGAAACTCATCCAGGGATTCTGAGCCAGCTTTATTCTTCTTCAGCTGCTCTATATAGTATATTGGAATACCTTTTCTTAAATACAAATGATAGCCCTATATAAACAAATAATAAAATAAGGCTTAAACAAGTAATAAAATAAGGCTTAGAAGTGGAAATGAAACTAAATTAATGAAGTATAATTACCCTCCCAAAGTGATTTTTATAGCATTTCTTAATATAACTAGGTAGTGTTAAAATATACTTTTTATTTACAAAAAAACTTTTAGGAGTATGCATTCTATTTTAAAACAGAATATGTGTCCATCCCACTATAATTTATTTAAAATTCTTATTAACAAAAAAGTTTAGGGCTCCAAATTATTACTGTTGTCTATCTTTGTACACTTTAAAATCCTAACGATGTCTTCTGCAGGGGTTTGTCCCCATGTGTCACTTTATGGTAGTAGTATTTTCAAAGGTTACAAATGAAAAGTTCATCAGATTAATAATAGCTGATGCTGTACTCTGCTAAACTTCCCAATATTATCTTTTTACTGTTATACATTTATCACATGGTTATCTATAATGTTTGAGACATTTGAAGCTAATTAAGCAAAATTTCCCTTTGCATTTATTTGTTACTTGCTGTTGTGTCTAAGAGAACACTCATAGCCCTCTTTCCTCTGCTCCCTCTTGAGGCTGCAAGAAGAACACAGGCCTGCTTGTTCTGAGTTTCTGTGAAGTGAACAGACATTGCAGACACTCACCTGGTTATTCTAGTTTCTACACTGCTGATGGCACAGAGCAAATATTCCTCCTAGGTACATGTTTGATGTGTAGACAAATTCAGCCTTAATACCTATGCAGGAAGAGGATAGTGACTACAGAGAAACCCTGACAGAAGAATGAAAATTGCACATTCACTCTTTCATCCCCTTACCCTCACTCAGGCTAAGCCTAGGCAAAAAGTTCTAAAAAGTACAAAGGTAATCGGACCCACCAAGCTGTACTCATGAAGGCCTCACAATATATATTTCACATAGTTTTACTGGAAAGATCTGATATTAGGTACTTATAGTAATTTTAACATTGTTTTGTGTTCCTTTTAAATAATGGGTAAAGGAAAGGAAGATAAGTACTAGGAATAAAATTATACTGTACGTGCTTCTCAAATGATATTTGTATCGGACAAATGGTATCTGTGCTGGACATTGTCAGTAGCCCAATATAACCACCTTTTTTGTTGTTGTTCACATGGCTCCTTCTCTCTGCTGCCTCTGTGTTTTCTCACCCATATTATATGCAGGTGGGAGTTTTCTAAAATGTAGCTTTTTGGCGAGAAAGCTAATTTTCAGTTTGGATCTAAGCTGAAAATAGTTCCCCAATTGCCCTGAAGTTATCACTGTCAGGTTATTTCTAATGTAGTATTTTTCAGCATGCTCCTGGGCTAGCACTCCTGAAGGCTTAACTGCATAGTCTGTTTTTACTCATTGTCTAGAAGGCTAATGGAGTCTGTTGGTATAATCTTCAAGAAAAGTCAGAGTATCCAATTAGTAAAGGTGAAAAGCTTAGCAAAGTTTTCTCACTGATTAAAAATAAGTACTATGTTCGGAAACTTGTTTTTGTTAATAAATTATTATTCAGTTATTAATAAAGATAATACCTCTAGTAAATTAGTTGAGTTCAACCAGTAAAGCTATAATGCTAAATAGAACCTGTGCATCTGTGTTCTCATTGTGACTTGCAAATGGAAATGTTTGCATATTTTACATATTTCAACCTTTTAGTATTCCAAAATGGAATATTAAAAAAATCTGCTGCACAGAATTGGGCAACTGTGTTTGACAGTGAGTAGCTAATCCTGCCTACTCTGAGAGTTATTGAATTCTCTGCTCAATGCGGTGGGAGCACACAGCTGCTTCTGTTGTTTCTCTTTCCACAGCACAGCAATGAATTTAAACATGACAGTGGCATTTGAATATTAAAGCATATCCATTCCTCTCCTGACTAAAATTGAAGCACTAGCAAATATGTAATGCCGCCTGACTTAATCAATTTTAATTTAATTAACATATCATTATTCAAACTGGAAATTATTTGTTTTCAAAGATAGAGTCGAATCATCCTTTATAAATCATTTTTAAATAAAATTTGGACTAACAATTTCTAGTTCTACATAGAAACCTGGGATAGTAGAACTTAAATAAGCTTTTTGGTTTAGATAATTTGAAAAACAAACATCAACAAAATATTGTTGCCCAATGAATACTGCTAAATTTCCAAATTTATCTGGAAGTTTTAAGAATATATCAATAGCCCAAATGAAAAATAAAATTACCTTTGGAAATATCATAATGGAAATCTAAAGAGGCTAATTTCCCCATGAAGAATTTCTTACTCATCTTGTTATTTCAGTCAGAATGTTAGCAAGAAAAAGATAGAATAAAAGTTTATAAAAATTCATTTTTGCATCAGTTTGGTAAATAATGAAAAAATAATATTTATTTTTCTCAAAGTAAGTATTAGTAGGTGGCATTAAAATATATTATAAACTGTTTCTTTTTAATAGAATAGGAGATCTCTATATTGTGCTGGTATAGTGACACTCATATAATAATTTAATCTGCTTCCAAATGTATTCAGATATTTGCTGGTAGTTCTCTATGCAACATAATGGGCAATTTTAATGATTTGTTTTAACCTGAGTTAACCAGTGTTTTTGTTTGGGGCTCTACTATAAGAATCCTTGTGTTCAAAATATGAAGAAGCCATCAAAAAGTAATGCCTAACTAATTTATGCTATTGTGAGGCAGTGATTATTCTAGCTCATACATTCTAGAATAAACATCTACAAATGATCCTGGACTGCCTTGTTCCTATCACCCCCTATTTATAGTTTCCATGTTGCAGAACTTCGTGATTCGATATACTTGGGCTTTTTCAATATATGAATCTAGGCTTTCTCAGCTATTTCCCACATTCATGAATAATTAATCTGCATTATTATTTCTTTCTAGCAGAGTACCTTGAGGCTGGCTAATTAGTTTATTTAATTATCATTATTTTTATTTGTGTCCTGCCTTGTTCCTAAAAGGAAATAAACTGGTTTGTAAAGATGCATATGATACAGCAAGATAAACTAGATTTTTGAAAGAGAATGTTGGGAAAAGGAGGCAGTGAGAAGTAAAAGAAAGCGATATGAAGCCAGGAGTTTAGCTTGAAAAAATAATTTCTCAAAACAGTTTAACTTGGTGAAAGTGACTCCCAAATATGGTTCTAAGTTTGTTAAATACCTACAAAGGTAGGAAAACAACTAGAGAGGGAGTTGGGCTGTTAATTGACTGAGTATTTATCCCAAAAGAGACCATGTAATTTGGGAGAATTTGAAACATGTTTTTTTTTTATTTATTTTTTTTATTATACTTTAAGTTTTAGGGTACATGTGCACATTGCGCAGGTTAGTTACATATGTATACATGTGCCATGCTGGTGTGCTGCACCCACTAACTCGTCATCTAGCATTAGGTATATCTCCCAATGCTTCCCCTCCCCCCTCCCCCCACCCCACCACAGTCCCCAGAGTGTGATATTCCCCTTCCTGTGACCATGTGATCTCATTGTTCAATTCCCACCTATGAGTGAGAATATGCGGTGTTCGGTTTTTTATTCTTGCGATAGTTTACTGAGAAACATGTTTTATAGAAAAGTTTAAGTCATTCTTCTACAACTTAACACAAACTAGATTATGCTCTCTCAGTTAAGTTTCTTGCATTTCTAGGTTAGTAATATGTTCATTTTCAACCCTGTCACGTTATTTTCTTAATAAATCTAGAAAATGCATACTATTAAACCAGAGTTAAGTACTTAACAAATAACTTATTGTAACATATTTGAAGTTTCTAAGAGTATAAAGGCATCAATTACTGTCAGTGTCTCCAGTGAGGTATCATTTACAATGCTATATAGGTACTGTGTCTTAGTCATCTCAGGCTTCTGTAATAAAATACTATGCAGGCTGAAAGTCTGATTTAGGGTGCTAGTATGGTCAGGTTTTGGTAAAGAGGGCTCACTTCCTGGCTGGCAGATGGCTTCCTTCTCACTGTATCTTCACATTGGGGAGAAAGACAGAGGAGGGTGGAGGTGGAGCATGAGCATGCAAGCTGTCTTGCGTCTCTTCTCATAAGGGCACTAATTCTCATTATAATGGCCTCACTCTTGTGACCTGATTAAGTCTAATTTTCTTCCCAAGACCTCATCTCCAGATGTCAAGACATTGGGGCTTAGGGCTTCTCATGAAATTTTGTGAAGTGTTGAGGGGAATAATTCTGTCCATGGCATACCCTCATATCCTTAGCAAAAAGATACAGAAATCGATGCATTTATTTATTGTTAATGAAAAGAAGGAAGGAGACTAAAAGTTGACAAGAAAGATGAAAGGAAGTTCAATATTGGGACGCTGCAGCACACACACATAATCACCTGGGAGCCTGACTGCTGTGTGTATGCCCAGGTGAAGGCTGCCAAGGGACTACTCAAGTCAGTCCGTGTGCAAAAAAGGCAGCTCCAAGCACACTAGTCAAAGCCCATCGTGCCTTTAAGACATCTCAGGAGCACGCTGTGACCCATTTTATAAAGTACAGCATTAGTTCCAGCAGTATCAAAATGAATGTTTGGCTAGTCTCCAGATTCTCAAAGAAGACATACAGGAATTTTAACACTGCCATTTTAGGAAGTCTGTTCTGTGTCTTGAATAAACTAGGAAAATCTTTTTGGGAAGCAGTCAGGAAATCTTGTGAGTCACACTGCACTATCATCTCATATAAATTTTCTATTATTTTTTCCATGATATTGTGGAATATCGAGTATGCTTTTTATATAACACCTATTTGAAAAGAGAAATATCCTAGGTATACCACATTCAGATAATGGAAGTTAAGTTCAAGAGTCATTTCATAAAGTGGGAAATTCACTTAGTTAGGAATCTAGATTCCAAATTCCAGTCCCTCTTTTGCCACTAAATAGTTGTGTGACAATGGCCAGTCACTTAACCTGAAAAGCGTACATTTCTCCATCTTTTCAATGGAGCTATAATAACTCTTCTTTTTTCTTCTCTACCTTTTTATATGAATACTCAATAGGAAAATGTGAGTAAAAATCTAATAAAACCAGGAGGTTGTAAATAGGTGCAAGGTGTGGGTTTCTTTCTTCCTTTTTATTATTACGCTACCTTGAAATGCCCTGATGACTCTAAAACCAGGAGAGATTTGGGGAAAATATAGGTACAAGTCAGAAACAGAATGTAGATATATCAAAGACAAGCTGAGTGTGATTTAAATGGTTTTGGATGACTTTAGTTTCTTTCTGTTTTAGGGGTCACTAGAACGTACTTTCACTCCTAGGGATTCTAGCTCTTTCAGAAGGGGACACACCATGATGATTTCCGGTGTTCTTCCTTTTTACAAATAAGAAAACACATCTATAGCAGATGCCCTGATATCTTGAAATCAGCACCCTTAAAACTAAAAGTTTGCCTGTCTCTGGCTCTCTCTTCCTCCAATGACTATAGTTGTAGCCATCAGAGCATGAGCACGTCCACTACTTCTTATCCCAAAGCCACTGACCAAATAGAGTTTATGATTTAGAATTGTTTAGGCTTATAAAAAGGTATATATTGCATAAATTGTCTAATGCATGCACATTCTAGCCCTCTTCTCTCAAGGAGTGGATGTAGCATCTCATGGCCTAATATATTAATATTTTGGCAGCAAATCAAACAAATGCCCACATGTGTGATGAATAAACACTAGAAATAGCCTCACATCAGTTCAGGTTAGTGTTTGCACTCAGATAAGTTCAAGTCAGGACAGGTTTTGCAGACAAAAGTATTTAAAAGGTTTTAGTGTTTAGCTGTTTGGACTTTAGAACTGCTGGTGAGAGATTATATAGATCTGTAGAAGACTCAGGCTCACTTTTTACACTCAGCAACAAATCCAGAAATCTTGCCAACTTTTCCAAGGTGGAAAAAACATATCACCACTGGGGTTTCATACCCACTTCTCAAGTCTGTGCT
Organism: Homo sapiens; assembly: GCF_000001405.40. Classification (NCBI taxonomy): domain Eukaryota; kingdom Metazoa; phylum Chordata; class Mammalia; order Primates; family Hominidae; genus Homo; species Homo sapiens. Next base: position 157,810,554 of record NC_000004.12, read on the forward strand.
TGATGTTAATTTTTCACAGATTGGTCATTAATTTATTTAATTTAGAAAGGCCCTTAGAGATCACTTGTGGAAATATCTTTATTTTCCTAATAATAAACTGAGGCTCTGAGAATTTAGGTGAGGCTGTGTGTACAAAGAGTCAAAGCATAAACTTTTGAGTCAATCAGCTAGACCTGTCTTCAAATTCTGCCTCTCCTTCTTGCTGGTAATATAAACCTGAGCAAGTTATTTCATTTTCTTATCCTTAATGTCCTCATCTGTAACACAGAGTTATAATACCTTGTTCACAGGCTTGCCCATTCACTACTAAATGCTTACTGAGTACCTCTGTAGTGACAGGCACTATTCTAAGCACTGGGGATACATCAGGATTGTTTTGAGGTTTAAGTGTCATAGTGTATTTGAAGAACTTAGTAACATGGCTGGCACCTTAAATTTCAGTAATTGCTATTATTATTATCTAGTGGAAGAGTTATGAGAAAATTATTAGCTCTATGGGACAACAACCTATGTATTCTTTAAGAAAAAATGAGGAGAAGTGGACATAAAAGAACACAGTCTATTTTGTCCAAGCCAATATGCCCCAGAAATAATGTTGGATTTGCAAAGCTTCTAGTGATCCTCTGGTTCGTGTTCGGGAGTTGTCTAGATTTATATTGACATAAAATATCCCAGTCTTGAAAAATGTCCCAGCTAAAGGGTTGGAATCTCACAGAATAAGTTACAGGCTACCCATGTTCTTTGCGTTGTTAGTTAGGATCATCCTTTAGACACATAAATAATCCTTAGTCTTTTATCTCACAGTTACATGAACTAAAATGTTATTAGCCAAATGGGAACATAGCTATTTCTAGTAATGACCAGTATTCCACTACTTTCAAAACTGCAAAGATGTAATTACATTTTCTTGGTAGAGAAACATAACGCAAATATTTGTAGCTAATGAAATACAAGTTTACTTGTCAGAATAGCATTTCCAGCATCAATAAATTGTCAGCAACTTACATATTTTTTCAGTTTCAGTGTTATATTGATTGAATCAGCAAGATAATATTACTGCTGTATTTGAAATTAAATGTCTCTTCATTACATTTTTTGCCTTTACTGGATTTTTAAATATCTTAATGCTTTATTATATAGAACAGTGCTATTTTAGTTTTAAGTTTATGAAAAACAGGTATGATAAACCAAAAGTATTTCTTTCTCCAGAAAGCATAGTGAATACATGTTTTTTTCCCCACTGGACCTTTTCTGTAATTGAATGCTGATTGTGAAATTTTAAAGCATGTAGGAGAAAACTGACAGTCATCATAGTAGAAATGTTCCCTGCTTTGACTCAAATTATAAAAATAAATGGATAAAAATGAAAGCATTTTTTTGTAATATAAAATAATGATATATCGGTAAGAGGAGTAGGAACAAGATGGTCAAATAGAACCCTCCAGCTATTGTCCCTACCACAGGAACACCAAATTGAACAACTATCAATTCGAGAAAGCACTTTCATAAGAATAAAAAAATAAAAATCAGGTGAGCAATCACAGTACCTGGTTTTAACATAGCAAAGACAGAAGCATTGAAGAGGGTAGAAAGGGCGGTCTTGCTGTATTAGGCCATTCTTGCATTGTTATGAAAAATACCTGAGACTGGGTAATTTATAACAAGAGGTTTAATTAGCTCATGGTTCTGCAGGCTTTACAGAAAGCATGGTGATGGCATCTGCTTGGCTTTTAGGGAGGCCTCAGGAAGCTTTCAATCATGGCAGAAGTCAAAAGGGGAGCAGGCACATTACAAGGCAAAAGCAGGCACAAGTGAGAGAGAGTCGGGGGGAGGTGCCACATACCTTTAAATAATCAGATCTCATGAGAACTCACTATCACAAAGACAGCACCAAGCTATGAGAGATCTGCCTCCATGATCCAAACACCTCCCACCAGAACCCACCTCCAGCATTGGGTATTACAATTCAACATGAGATTTGGGCAGAGACAAATATCCAAACTATACCCCTTGCATTGCCTACATCATGTCTCCCCCAATTCCAGGAAGTGCAGTGAAAAGAGAGAATCCCTGTATTTGCAAGAGAGAGAGTGGAGTGAGTGTGTTCCTTTGCATTGGAACTCAGTCCCATCTTGTCACAGGGGGACACAACACAAGGCAGAATATTGCCAATATCATCCAAGGGAGCATTTGGACCAGTCCTAGGCCAGAGGGGAGTCCTCCACTCCAGTAGGAGGAACCCAAGTCCTGGCCTGCTTCACTACTGGCTGACTGAAGTGGAATACATTTGAATGGCAGTCAAGCCACAGTTGACTGCAGTCCTTGGGCAGGCCCTGGAGCTACTCTGCTGTCAGAGACAATGGGCTAAGGGTGTGACCCAGGGTGACAACAGCTGCAGCAACCATAAGGATGCCTGTGTCACCCCTTCCCAAACTTCAGGCAGTACAGCATGGAGGAGACTCCTTCTGCCTAGGGAAAGGAGAGAGAAGAGTACAGATGAATTTGTCTTGCAACTTGGGTACCAGCTCAGCCACACTAAAATAAAGCACCAACATACCAAAAATTAAGAATATTTTAATCTGCCAAGAATAAACAATCTGAAAAATAAAGCCAAAATGTAACTCCATTTAATAGCTACGAATAAAACAAAATGCCTAGAAATAAACTTAACCAAAGAAGTGAAAGATTTCTACAATGAAAACTATAAAACATTGATGAAAGAAATTGAAAAGGACACAAAAAATTGGAAAGATATCACACGTTCATGAATTAGAAAATCAATATGGTTAAAATGTCTATACTACCCAAAGCAATCTACAGATTCAATGTAATCCTTATCAAAATAACAATGACTTTCTTCACAGAAATAGAAAAATAGGATTTCATATAAATCCTAACATTTATATGAAAACACAAAAGACCTTGACTGGTGAAACCATTTCTGAGCAAGAAGAAAGCTGATGACATCATATTACCTGACTTCAAATTATACTACAAAGCTAAAGTAACCAAAACAGCATGGTACTGGCATAAAAACAGACATAGACCAATGAAACCGAATACAGAATCCAGAAATAAACTCATGTATTTACAGTCAACTCACTTTTGAAAAAGGTGCCAAGGACATACATTGATGAAAGAACAGTCTCTTCAATAAATGGTGCTAGAAAAACTGGATATTCATATGCAAAAGAATGAAATTAAACTCTTATCTCTCACCATATACAAAACCCCAGTCAAAATTGAATAAAGATTTAAATGTAAGTCCTGAACTATGAAACCACTTGAAGATAACATTGAGGAAATGCTCCAGAATATTGGTCTGGGAAAAGACTTGAGTAAGACCTCAAAGCAGACAACCAAAGCAAAAGTGAACAATGAAATTATATTAAACAAAAGAACTTTTGCACATCAAAAACAAACAAACAATAAACAATGAAGAGACAACCCACCAAATGGGAAAAATATTGCAAAATACCCCCCTCACAAGGGATTAATAACCAAAATATAGAAGGAGATCAAATAACTTAATAGGAAAAAATGCAAATTATCCAATTTTTTGAATCAACAAAAAATATGAATAGACATTTTTCAAAAGATATACAAATGACTAACATGTTTATGAAAATATCCTCAACATCACAAATTATCAGAGAAATATAAATCAAACCACAATGAGATATTATCCCATTCCAGTTAAAACGGCTTTCATCAAAAAGATAAGCAATTCAGTAAATGAATGAACAAAAAAACAAATACTGCATATTCTCACTTATTAGTGGGAGCTAAATATTGGATACACATGGACATAAAGATGGCAACAATAGACAATGGGGAATACTAGAGAGGGGAGGGAGGGAGGGGGACAAGAGTTGAAAAACTCACTATTGGGTACTATGCTCAGTACCTGGGTGACAGGATCAATCATACCCCAAACCTCAGCATCACACAGTATATCCATGTAACAAACTTGCACATGTACCTCCCGAATCTAAAATAAAAGTTAAAATTATTTTTTAAAAAACAGACAATAATAGATTATGGGGAAGATGTGGGAAAAGGCAAATCCTCCTACACTATTGGAGGGGGATTGTAAATTAGTACAGCCACTACAAAAAAACAGTATGGAAGATCTCAAAAAACTCAAAATTGAACTACCATATGATCCAGCAATTCCACTATTGGGTGTATATCTAAAAGAGTGGAAACTAGTATATCAAATAGGTATCTGTCCTCACTCTCCTGTTTATTACAGCAATATTTATAATAGTCAAGATATGGAATGCACCTAAGAATCTATCAATGGATGAATGAATAAAGAAACCATTATATATATAACATATTTCTTCATATATGTATATATGTGTGTGTTTGATATGATATATTTGATATATAATATATATGATATATAATACGTGATATATAATTGATATTATCTATATATATAAAATATTACTGAGAATATTGCCTACGGAGACAACAGCCAGGTTTTATCACAGGATGAAATTGTGAGTGCAGACAAAGCTGCCAAGACACATTTTTTCTTAGAGACATTACCCTACAAATATGAAACAAGACTGGAAGATAAGGGGACTCAGCTCTCAGGAGGTCAAAAAACAGAGGATTGCTATTGCCTGATCCCTCATCAGATAACCTCAAATCCTACAGTTGGATAAAGCTACATATCAGCTCTGGATACTGAAAGCGGAAAAGTCGTACAAGAAGTCCTGGTTAAAGCTAGAGAACGTCGCGCCTGCAGCGTGATCACTCATCACCTCACCACCTGTCCACCATTCAGAGCACAGACTTAATAGTGGTATTTTAGGATGGAAAAGTCAAGGAGCACGGCATGCATCAACAGCTCCTGGTACAGAAAAGCATCTGCTTTTCAATGGTCAGTGTCCAGACTGGGACACAGAACTTATGAACAGAACATATATATGTGATACACGGTATATGTGATATATCACATATATATGTGTGATATGTATGATGTATGTGATATATCATATATCTCATATATTGGAATATAGATATTCCAATTAATTACCTTGATTTGATTATTACACATCATAGGCTTGTTTCAAAATTTCACATGTACCCCATAAATATGTACAGCTATTATGTATCCATAAAAATTAAAAATAAAAAATAAGATAAAATAAGATAAGGTGACAAAGGAAAAAATAATAATACGTTTAACATTCTGAGTAGAGAGAATGAAATATCTAAGTAGTAGGATTATGGCTTCTTAAAGTAAAATAGCATCCAATCAATTATTTTAACAATTTTTGGGGAAAATGACATAAACTAGTCAATTAATGTTAAATAAATTATTCAAATTCCTACTGAGAAAATACATTATTATATGACTGATATATAATCACTAATCCATTTTTAGACCTTATTTTAAAGAAGCTTCAGTCTTTATATATTTTTAAGATAATGCTTTTGAGGCACAGGTATTTGACAGAAGGGAAGTAAACCACCTTTATTTTCAAAATCCTCTAATAAAGTACCTGTTCTGAGTTTATTCTTGTTTCAGGATTGAGCAAATGACATGTTTCTTCAGAAAATTTTGCCAAAGTTTTCAAAAATGGCAGAAATTATCACCCCAGGATTTAGAAATTTTGACAGCACATAGACCACAGGTTTTCAAAGATGAAAAGTTATAAAATTAGTTTGCAAAGGGATTCTCAAGTAACAAGGAGTGCTCAGCAGGAAAAAAAGAAAGTATAAGTGAAAATGTTTTCCCTTGGTCTTGTCTTTGACACACAGCATTCTGTATTGTCTGTGACAAAGCATTAGGACTAGAAATTTCTATATCCACGAGAAACAGTAGCAAACTACTGCAATACCCACTCCTCTGGCCTGCTACATGAGGCTGCATCCAGAGTAGATTTTAATTACAACTACTAATTCCATGTTGCTTTACCTAATGTGAGTCTATACAAGGAGGTGTAATCTAAATCAAATGCAGTAAGTGATGACCTCAGAAACCCAAACAGATGGTTATTTATCAAGGACTATATAAAATTTCTAAAAATAAGTGTTGATTAATATTAAGGAAAGTCTGCAAGTCTCTTTTATTGTGATTTCCCAATTTGAATATGTGTGCTACTTTTTATGATGTAAAAATGTCATAAAATAGTTTGAGAATAATAACTTCCTTTTGTTTCCACTTTGCTAATGGTAGTGGTGGTAGTGGTGAGAGAAGGTAGATGGATGAAGAAACCTAGAGTTTTTATACTAAATGATGTTCTTTACTGGTTTAGATAAACTTCCCCAAATGAACTTTTAAATATTTATTACAAATTAGGGGTTTTCTTTTTGATGACATAGAGTACTTTGAGTGTGAAAATTGAACTGTCAGTATTACTCTCTGCCTTACATATTTGTTATACTTAATAGAGTTGCGTAAAGCTATATAAATAGCTCTTCAGTTACTCTTGAAAATCAAATGGTTTGAACTAGGAATAGAGTCAACATTCTTATAATACATTCATATTCTGCAGCCTCAAAGAATACAATTTAAGATTTTATGACATTTTGCCTCAATGTACAATGTCATCTTGTCGAAGATATCCACAAACTATGATGTAAATGTACCTCTAATTTTTCTTTTTCAATACATACTGCAATCTCAGACCAGCCACACTCAGAAAACCACAACACAGGAGAAATTGTTTACTCCTTAAGAAGAAATAATTTGTAACATTAACAGGATACAGTAGGAAATAAGAGTGAACCACACTCATTAATATACAAACATCTTGAGATGCATAACTATCAGCAGCACCAGATTATAAATGACAGAAGCAAAATATTATTTTCTAAAGATTTGAAAGGAAAGTAGGGCTGAGAGAAGGAAAGAATCATCTTTCATGCCTGCTCGGTGATACTTACAGGCCAGAGGAAAAATAAACCAATCTGTCTCCAAGGATCAGAACCCTGCATGAAGACCTAATTAGAATCCAGGTGACAGCACTGAAGGTGAATAATGGATTAAAGAACAGAAATGTAACAGTCATTTTTACTGCGGTATTTTATTTTCCCTTGAGAGCTTACACCGATGGATTAGAAAGGACATGGCTCCACTTTTAATATAGTCTAATAGTCTGGTCTGGAAGTTATGAAGTTATTTCAGGCAGTCACTTGCAAATTATTCTTATCACTGGAAAGATAGGTGTAACCTAAAGTCTGGAAATTGTTAAAAAAACATAATTTGTACTTGAATATAAAATGTGTTAATGCACTAGACTTAAAAAGATAAAAATGACTTTTTATGCGCTCACTACAAATAAAATGAAAAAGGTAAGTGCTAAGCACAGATTAAAAGTGATCTTGGAAGTTCGCTCTAACTCCTTTCTCTAGGTTCTTAAAATTAAATACTATTAGAAAATGGTCAACTGAGTTTATGATGCTATTACTCCAGCATAGTTTAAAAGAGCTTCACTCCTTAAACAAATCCAAGTATGAAACAGTCAAATGCTTACATTTCTGAGGATATATCCCCCATCCAAAAAGTAGAAATACAGTCTGAGATGTTAACCAAAGATATAATTTAATGTAGTAATTAACTATAACAAAAGTCATAGACTTGTGACTACATGAAAGAAAAATATGGAATAAAGATTAAGAAGATTGTTCTAGATGATGCTGATAAATGAGAATTAAAATCTGTGTTAGATGGCTACAGACTTCAGATATAGTCTAGACTAAAAGTTCTCAACCTTTGCTGCACATTAAAAGTACCTGAGAAGCTTTAATATTGATGACTAGGTCACACATTAGGGTATCTGAAGATGGAAACCTGCTGTTAGTATTTATTAAAAAGCCTCCAGGCAGTGGTAATATGCATCTTGATTTGAGAACTACTGGGCTAGACCAAGAATCCCTCTTTAACTGAATTCTAGAGATGTATCATTGTTTCTAACTGAACCAACAGTGTAAAAGCTATAGTTTATATGATTAGTCTTACATTTGAGGAAGAAATTACATAACATTTCTTCCAATCCTAACCGTTTTATCGTCTTTATGTGATTAATAAGCCTGACACATTTAGAATTCTTTGCACAAATGGGTAACAAGCATATAAAGCGTTTAAAAAACCTCCACCTCACGGGTAATCAATTACTTGTAAATTGAAACAAGTTGTTTTTCTACCTATAAAACTTCCAACATTATTACCGAAATGGTTATATGTAGTAGTTTGCAGCCTTCAGAAAATATCACTGAATTCAAAGAGCAGTTTAAAAAAATAACATGGGGGAGGGGGGCAAGATGGCTGATTAGATAAAGCCAGGTGGAACCGCTCCGTCCCAGGGACCAAGAGGACTGCTGTGCTCCTAACAGATCTTCAGAGGGAAGGCACTGAGAGTGGATGGAGGGAAGACACAGAAGCTGGGCTGAAGAAGGAGAAAGCTTGGAACCCTACACGGGGCTGCAGCACACTGGGACTCATTCCTGACCCCCAACAGCTCCAGGAGAAGGAGTGGAGTTGAGTAGTTAAGGAGCAGCTCGCTGTCGTCCCCAGCCTCTGGAAGCTCAGCAGGTGGAAACTCCTTGCTCACCAGGGACACTGGAGTTGGCCGGGAGACCTGCTTAGAGAAGTGGTGGGTGCAGCAAGCCAACAGATGTCGAGCCCAGAGGGTTTGATGCGGGAGCGTTGGTAGCAGAGCAAAGCTGGGGTTGGTCGTCCCCCTAGGCTCCACTTGCTCTCATAGGAGACTTTAGCCCTAAGGGACCTGTCAGACCTGATTTCTGCCGGGCAGTCTTGCCCATCGGGCAGGGATGGTCCAACCTGAGAACACTTTGGTCTGCTGGCCTCTCCTGGTGCTCCAGCCTGGCCACGCCTGCTTGCAGGGCAGCCGCAGGTGCCCTGGGGGTCCTCACCATAGCTTCTGCACTGGTGGACCGTGCCTGACTGGCGGAGAGCTCCAGCAGGGTGTCCCCTGTGGCCACGCACCAGCCGTCACGCTCCCTCTCCACACTGCAGCTTCCTTCTGCCTCACGGCAACTCCCCACTTCACACTGCTAGTACGTGTCTGCCAGGTGTCTGCCAGGTGAGTTCTGCTTCTGTTGCCCTGCCAGCACACAGGAGTTCAATCCACCTCCGATAGCCCCACTGACTGCCATTACAGACCGAGCCTTGTCGGGTACAAAGCCAGCCAGCCCCATTCCTGCCCGCAACCCGCTCTTGCACTAACACTGTACAGAGAACAGCAGCAGATCAGCCTCCACCCTAAGTGACTACTCCTGCTTACAGGGCACAGAGAAAGCACCCAGATCTGGACTCGCCAGCGCCCCGCCTTGGAGCCAACACCACCTCAAGTGCGACATTGCACATAGCCGCAGGCATGCTCCCTCCCGCACCTCGCGGCACCCACAACTGAGTTGCCTCCACCACTGAGGTGAATGCCCACAGGGAGGCAGGCATCCTGGCAGGCTAGCATTCTGTTGTGCTGCTGCAACTGCTGCTGCTGGCACGTGTGAATGAGGACAGATCCTGCTGTCACTGCTTTATTAAATGCTTCGGCTGACACCATGCATCAGAGTGGTCCAGGGGCACCTGGGCCCCCTGCAGCACTGTTCCCCGCAGCACCGTGGATTCCTAACCTCGAGCAGCCAGAGAAAAAAGTCGGCATCCAATATGGGTCCTCCAGAATTAGAGCACGCAGTCCAGGAGTTTGGAGCTGAGGCTGGCTCTCTACAATCTTCCAGAAATGAAGCCAGTTGGCTGAATTCATCTAATACCACAATCAAGCCCTCAAGGTCATCAAGCAGGATTAAAAAAAAAAAAAAAAAAAAAAACCAAAGATCAGAAACTTGAAAGACTGAAGGTCGATAAGCTCACAAAGAAAAAAATCAACACAATAACACTGACAAGCCAGAGTGCCTTCTTTCCTCCAAATGAGGCACAACAATTTAAGCAAAGTCTCATGTTACAAAATTAATGTGAAAAAATCACTAGCATTGCTATATACTAACAGTCAAGCCGAGACCCAGATCAAGTATATAATCCCATTCAAAATGTCCACACACAAAAATAAAACAAATATACCTAGGAATACAGCTAACAAAGGAGGAGAAAACTCTCTACAAGAACTAGAAAACACTGCCCAAAGAAATCAGAGATGACACAAACAAACGGAAAAACATTCCATGCTCATGGATAGAAAGAATCATTATCATTAAAATGGCCATACTGCCCAAAGCAATTTACAGACTCAGTGCCACTCCTATTAAACAACCATTGACTTTTTTTTCACAAAACTAGAAAAATCTATTTTAAAATTCATACGGAACCAAAAAAAAAAGCATGAATATCCAAGGTAATTCTAAGCAAAATGAACAAAACTAGAGGCATCACACTACCTGACTTCAAACTATACTATAGGGTTATAGTAACCAAAACAGCATAGTACTGGTACAGAAACAGACACATATACCAATGGAACAGAATAGAGAACCCAGAAATAAGTCTGCATTCCTACAACTATCTGATCTTTGACAAACCTGACAAAAACAAGAAATGGGGAATGTATTCCCTATTCAATAAATGGTGCTGGGCTAACTGGCTAGCCATATGCAGGAGACTGAAACTAGACCCCTTCCTTACACCATATACAAAAATTAACTCAAGATGGGTTAAAGACTTACATTTAAAACCTAAAACTATAAAAATTCTTGTTGATAACCTAGGCAATATCATTCTGGACATAGGCGTGGACAAAGATTTCATGGTGAAGATGCCAAAAGCCATTGCAACAAAAGTAAAAGTTGACAAATGAGATCTAATTAAACTGAAGGGCTTCTGCACAGGAAAAGAAACTATCCAGAGAATAGACAGACAACTTACAGACTGGGAAAGAATTTTTCCAAACTATGCAGCTGAAAAGTTCTAATATCCAGCATCTATAAGGAACTTAAACAAATTTACAAAAAAGAAAAACACCATGAAAAAGTACCTAAAGGACATGAACAGACACTTTCAAAGGAAGACATACATGTGACCAACAATCATATGAGAAAAAGCTGAACATCACTGATCATCAGAGAAACACAAACTAAAACCACAATGAGATACCATCTCACTCCAGTCAGAATGACTATTATTAAAAAGGCAAAAAATAACAGATGCTGGTGAGATTGTGAAGAATAGGGAACACTTATACACTGTTGGTGGGAGCGTAAATTGCTTAATTCATTGTTGGAAGACAATGTTACGATTCCTCAAGGACCTAAAAATAGAAATACCATTCAATCAGCAATGCCTTTGAGAGGTGACAAGGTGCTAGCAGCCCTCGCTCACTCTCCGCGCCTCCTGGGCCTCAGCGCCTGCTCTGGCCACACTAGAGGAGCCCTTCAGGCCGCCACTACACTGTGGGGGCCCCTTTCTGGGGCTGGCCGAGGCTGAAGCAGGCTCCCTCTGCTCACGGGGAGGTGTGGAGGGAGAGGTGCGCGCGGGAGCTGGGCTGCGCTGGGTGCTAGTGGTGCTGGCGCAGATTCTGGGTGGGTGCAGGCTCTGCGGCCCCACACTCCACATGGCCGGCAGGTGCCTGCTGGGCTTGATCAGGGGAAGAGCTCCCTCTGGGCTGTCGGAGTCCCACTCAGAGTGCCATTGAGAGGTGAAGCCAGCTGGGCTTCTGGGTTGGGTGGGGACTTGGAGAACTTTTGTGTCTAGCTAAAGGATTGTAAATGCACCAATCAGCACACTGTGTCTAGCTAAAGGATTGTAAAGGCACCAATCAGCACTCTGTGTCTAGCTAAAGGTTTGTAAATGCACCAATCAGTGCTCTTTGTCTAGCTAGTCTGGTGGGGACTTGGAGAACATTTGTGTCTAGCTAAAGGATTGTAAACACACCAATCAGCACTCTGTCAAAACGGACCAATCAGCTGTCTGTAAAACGGACCAATCAGCTCTCTGTAAAATGGACCAATCAGCAGGATGTGGGTGGGGCCAGATAAGGGAATAAAAGCAGGCTGCCTGAGCCAGCAGCGGCAACCCACTGGGGTCCCCTTCCACGCTGTGGAAGCTTTGTTCTTTCGCTCTTTGCAACAAATCTTGCTGCTGCTCACTCATGGGTCTGCATTACCTTTATGAGCTGTAACACTCACAGCGAAGGTCTGCAGCTTCACTCCTGAGGCCAGTGAGACCACGAGCCCACCACGAGGAATGAACAACTCCAGATGTGCCACCTTTATGAGCTGTAACACTCACTGTGAGGGTCTGCAACTTCACTCTTGAAGCCAGTGAGACCATGAACTTACCAGACGGAAGAAACTCTGGACACATCTGAACATTTGAAGGAACAAACTCCGGACACACCATCTTTAAGAACTGTAACACTCACAGCAAGGGTCCGCGGCTTCATTCTTGAAGTCAGCAAGACCAAGAACCCACCAATTCCAGACACACCATTACTGGGTAGATACCCAAAGGAATATAAATTGTTCTATTATAAAGACAGATGCAAGTGTATGTTCTTTGCAGCACTACTCACAATAGCAAAGACATGGAATCAACCTAAATGCCCATCAGTGATACACAGAAAGAAAATGTGGTACATATACATCATGGAATACTATTCAGCCATAAAAAACATGTCCTTTGCAGGGGCATGGATAGAACTGGAGGAAGTTATCCTTAGCAAACTAACACAGGAACAGAAAAACAAATACCGTATATTCTCACTTTTAAGTTAGAGCTAAATAATAACACATGGACACAAAGAAGGGAACAACACACACTGAGGCCTATTGGAGGATAGAGTGTGGGAGGAAGAAGAGGCTCAGGAACAATAACTATTGGGTACTAGGCTTAATACCTGGATGACAAAATAATCTGTACAACAAACCCCCATGACACATTTACCTATAGAACACATCTGCACATGTTCCCCTGAACTTAAAATAAAAATTAAATTTAAAAAATAGTGGAGGCATTATGGCAGACAAGGGGCAGGACTAGATTGCAGCTCCGACTTGGACGGACAGAGCAGCGTGCAGAGGCTCACATCATGGATTTTTAGCTCCAGAACGACTGCAGGAATAAATCAGGAAACCTGAGAGGACCCACAGACCCCCCTGAAGGAAGCCAACTGCGCCTGCAGGACCCTGGAGACACCCCAAATACAGTGAGTGCCCAAACTGCAGAAGTGGAAAAGGGAGATCCTCTGCCCCGGAACACACACCCTTACAGGGGAAATCGAAGGTCTAGTTTACAGGAGAAGATTCTGAACTTACCTGGAGCTGAGTCGATGTAGAGAGCCAAGTGAAATACACAGGTAGAGGAAGAAGTGGGAAAGGCCCTGTGAGCTCACTGGGTCCCCAAGCAGGTCATTCCTGCCTGGCACCATAGGGATCCTTCCGGAGGGTGGCCAGAGGTGCAGGGAAAACGCCACAGGGAGAAGGAACTCTCCAGCTGATCTTTGTAACAATTTGAACCTGTTCAGAAGCCTCCTGGCCAGAACTCTGCTTGGGGGGAAGGGCATGAATCCAGCAAGCAGACTCCACAGGCCGGGGAAGAACTAAAGCCTTAGTATCTTTTTTTTTATTATTGAGATGGAGTTTTGCTCTTGTTGCCCAGGCTGGAGTGCGATGGCGCAATCTCCGCTCACCACCTCCGCCTGGGAGGCAAGTAGCCCAAGGCAAATTCTCAGCCCTGCTTGCCCACTTTCTGGAAACAGACTCAGTGCTGTGAGGCGGGGCATGGTGGGAGTGAGACCTGCCCTTCGGATTGCGTGGGAGCTGGGTGAGGCCTGTGATTGCCAGCTTTCCCCCACTTCCTGACAACCTGAGTGACTCAGCAGAGGCAGCCATAGTCCTCCTAGGTGCATAACTCCATTGACCTGGGAACCTCACCCCTAACCCCCACATCAGCCACAGCAAGACTTGCCCCAGGAGAGTCTGAGCTCAGACATACCTAGCCCTGCCCCCACCTGATGGTCCTTCCCTACCCACCCTGGTATCTAAACAAAAAGAGCATATACTCTTTGGAGTTCTAGGGCTCCACCCACCACCGTTCCTCTCCATATTTCCACAACTGATGCTCTCTGGAAAGCATCACCTCCTGGCAGGAAGCCAACCAGCATAAAAATGGAGCATTAAACCATAAAGCTAAGAACCCTCACAGAGTCCATTTCACCCCCCTGCTACCTCCACCAGAACAGGTGCTGGTATCTGCTGCTGAGAGACCCACAGACAGTTCACATCATAGGACTCTGTGCAGACAACCCTCAGTACCAGCCTGGAGCCTGGTAGACTTGCTGGGTGGCTGGACCCAGAAGAGAGATAACAATCACTACAGCTTGGCTCTCAGGAAGCCACATCCATAGGAAAAAGGGGAGAGTACTACATCAAGGGAACACCCTGCAGGACAAAAGAATCTGAACAACAGCCTTCGGCCCTAGACCTTCCCTCTGACAGAGCCTACCTTAATGAGAAGGAACCAGTAAACCAACTCTGGTAATATGAAAAAACAAGGCTCTTTAACACCCCCCAAAAAAATCACACTAGCTCACCAGCAATGGATTCAAACCAAGAAGAAATCCCTAATTTAACTGAAAAACAATTCAGCAGGTGCAGGGAAAACACCATAGGGAGAAGGAACTCTCCAGCTGAACTTTGTAACAATTTGAACCTGTTGAGAAGCCTCCTGGCCAGAACTCCGCTCGAGGGGAAGGGCATGAATCCAGCAAGCAGACTTCACAGGCCAGGGAAGAACTAAAGCCTTATTATCTTTTTTTTAAATTATTGAGATGGAGTTTTGCTCTTGCTGCCCAGGCTGGAGTACAATGGCGCAATCTCTGCTCACCACCTCCACCTGGGAGGCAAGTAGCCCAAGGCACACACAGGTTCAGCAGGTTAGTTATTAAGCTAATCAGGGAGGTACCAGAGAAAGGTGAAGCTCAATGCAAAGAAATCCAAAAAAGATACAAGAATCAAAGGGAGAAATATTCAAGGAAATAGATAGCATAAATAAAAAATATCATAACTTCAGGAAATAATGAACACACTTATCAAAATGCAAAATGCTCTGGAAAGTCTCAGCAATAGAATTGAACAAGTAGAAGAAAGAAATTCAGAGCATGAAGACAAGCTCTTTGAGTTAACCCAATCCAACAAAGACAAAGAAAAAAGAATAAGAAAATATGAACAAAGCCTCCAAGAAGTCTGGGATTTTGTTAAATGACCAAGCTTAAGAATAATCAGTGTTCCTGAGGAAGTAGAGAATCTAAAAGTTTGGAAAACATATTAGGGGGAATAATCGAGGAAAACTTCCCTGGCCTTGCTAGAGACCTAGACATCAAAATACAAGAAGCACAAAAAACACCTGGGAAATTCATCACAAAAAAGATCATCACCTAGGCACATTGTCATCAGGTTATCTAAAATTAAGATGAAGGAAAGAATCCTAAGAGCTGTGAGACAAAAACGCAAGGTAACCTATAAAGGAAAACCTATCAGTATAACATCAGTTTTCTCAGCAGAAACCCTACAAGCTAGAAGAGATTGAGGCCCTATCTTCAGCCTCCTAAAACAAAACAATTACCAGCCAAGAATTTTGTATTTAGTGAAACTAAGCATCATATATAAAGAAAAGATACAGTGTTTTTCAGATAAACAAAAACTAAGACATTCACCATTACCAAGCCTCCACTACAAGAACTTCTTAAAAAAGATCTAAACCAGCCAGGCGCAGTAGCTCATGCCTGTAATCCCAGCACTTTGGGAGGCCAAGGCGGGCGGATCACAAGGTCAGGAGATCAAGACCATCCTGGCTAACATGATGAAACCCTGTCTCTACTAAAAATACAAAAAAAATTAGCCGGGTGTGGTGGTGGGCGCCTGTAGTCCCAGCTACTTGGGAGGCTGAGGCAGGAGAATGGCATGAACCCGGGAGGCGGAGCTTGCAGTGAGCCAAGATCGTGCCACTGCACTCCAGCCTGGGCAACAGTGAAAGACTCCATCAAAAAAAAAAAAAAGCTCTGAATGTTGAAAGAAATCCTGGAAACACATCAAAACAGAACCTCTTTAAAGCATGAATCCCACAGGACCAATAAAACAAAAACACAATTTAAAAAACAAGAAAAAACAAAAACCAAGGTACACAGGCAACAAATAGCATGATGAATGGAATGGTACCTCCCATCTCAAAACTAACATTGACTGTAAATGGCTTAAATGCTCCACTTAAAAGATACAGAACTTCAGAATGGATGAGAATTCACAAACTAACTATCTGCTGCCTTCAAGAGACTCATCTAACACATACGGACTCACATAAACTTAAAGTAAAAGAGTGTAAAAGGCATTTCATGCAAATGTACACCAAAAGTGAGCAGGAGTAGCTATTCTTACATCAGACAAAACAAACTTTCAAGCAACAGCAGTGAAAAAAGACAAAGAGGGACATTATATAATGGTAAAAGGCCTTGTCCAACAGGAAAATATCAGAATCCTAAACATATATGCACCTAACACTGGAGCTCCCAAATTTATAAAACAAGTACTAACAGACCTAACAAATCTTAACAAATTTTAAAAAATGAGATAGACAGCAATATAATAATAGTGGAGGACTTCAATACTACACTGACAGCACTAGACAGGTCATCAAGACAGAAAGTCAACAAAGAAACAGTGGATTTAAATTATACCTCGGAACAAATGAACTTAGATATATACAGAACATTTCATTCAACAACCACAGAATACACTTCTATTCAACAGTGCATGGAACTTCCTCCAAGATAGATGATATGATAGGCCACAAAATGAGCCTGAATAAATTTAAGAAAATTGAAATTATATCAAGCACTCTCTCAGACCACAGTGGAATAAAACTGGAAATCAACTCTAAAAGGAACCTTCAATACCATGCAAATACATGGAAATTAAACAACCTGCTCCTGAATGATCATTGGGTAAAAAACAAAATCAAGATGGAAATTTAAAAAATTCTTTGAATTGAACAACAACAGTGACACAACCTATCAAAACCTCTTGGATACAGCAAAGGTGGTGCTAACAGGAAAGTTCATAGCCCTAAACACCTACATCAAAAAGATTGAAAGAGCAGAAACTGACACTTTAAGGTCACACCTCATGGAACTAGAGAAGCAAGAACAAACCAAACACAAACCCAGCAGAAGAAAGGAAATAACCAAGACCAGAGCAGAACTAAATGAAATTGAAACAAACAAAAAAATACAAAAGATAAATGAAACAAAAAGCTGGTTCTTTGAAAAGGTAAATAAAACTGATAGACCATTGGCCAGATTAACCAAGAAAAGAAGAGAGAAAATCCAAATAAGCTCAATTAGAAACAAAATGGGAAATATTACAACCAACACCACAGAAATACAAAAGATCATTCAAGGTGACTATGAACACCTTTATGTGCATAAACTAGAAAACCTAGAAGAAATGGATAAATTCCTGGAAAAATACTACCCTTCTAGTTTAAATCAGGAAGAATTAGATACCCTCAGTGACCAATAACAAGCAGCAAGATTGAAATGGTAGTTAAAAAATTACCAATGAAAAAAAGTCCAAGACCAGACGGATTCACAGAATTCTACCAGACATTCAAAGAAGAATTGGTACCAATGCTATTGACACTATTCCATAAGATAGAGAGGGAACCCTCCCTAATTCATTCTGTGAAGCCAGCATCACCCTAATACCAAAACCAGGAAAGGACATAACCAAAAAAGAAAACTACAGATCAATAGTCCTGATGAACATGGATGCTAAAATCCTTAACAAAACACTAGCTAACCAAATCCAACAACAAATCAAAAAGATAATCCACCATGATCAAGTCGGTTTCATACCAGGAATCCAGAGATGGTTTAACATACACAAGTGAATAAATGTGATATACCACATAAACAATTAAAAACAAAAATCACATGATCATCTCAATAGATGCAGAAAAAGCATTTGACAAAATCCAGCATGGCTTTATGATTAAAACTCTCAGCAAAATTGGCATACAAGGGACATACCTTAATGCAATAAAAGCCATCTATGACGAACCCACAGCCAACATAATACTGAATGGGGAAAAGTTGAAAGCATTCCCTCTTAGAACTGGAACAAGACAAGGACGCCCACTCGCACCACTCCTCTTCAGCATAGTACTGGATGTCCTAGACAGAGCAATCAGACAAGAGAAAGAAATAAAGGGTATCCAAACTGGTAAAGAGGAATTCAAACTGTCACTGTTTGCTGACAATAATCGTTTACCTTGAAAACCCTAAAGACTCCTCTGGAAAGCTCCTAGAACTGATAAAAGAATTCAGCAAAGTTTCCAGATACAATATTAATGTACGCAAATCAGTAGCTCTTCTATACACCAACAATGACTATGAAGAGAATCAAATCAAGAACTCAACCTCTTTTAAAATAGCTGCAAAAAAATAAATACTTATGAATATACCTAACCAAGGAGGTGAAAGATCTCTACAAGGAAAACTACAAAACACTGCTGAAAGAAATCATAGATGGCACGAACAAATGGAAACATCCCATGCTCATGGATGGGTAGAATCAATATTGTGAAAATGACCATATTGTTCAATGCAATTCCCATCAAAATACCACCATCATCCTTCACAGAATTAGAAAAAAACAATCCTAAAATTCATATGGAACCAAAAAAGAGCCCACATAGCAAAAGCAAGACTAAGCAAAAAAGAACAATTGTGGAAGCATCATGTTACCTGATTTCAACCTATAATATAAGGCCATAGTCACCAAAACAGCATGGTACTGGTATAAAAACAGGCGCACAGACCAATGGAACAGAACAGAGAACCCAGAAATAAACCCAAATATAGCCAACTGATCTTTCACAAAGCAAACAAAAGCATAAAGTGGGGATAAAACACCCTTTTCAACAAATGGTGCTGGGATAACTGGTTAGCTACATGTAGGAGAATGAAACCGGATCATCACTTGATACAAAAATCAACTCAGGATAGATTAAGGACTTAAATCTAAGACCTGAAACAGAAAAAAAAAAATCTGAAGATAACATTGGAAAAACCCTTCCAGACACTGGCTTAGACAAGTATTTCATGACCAAGAACCCAAAAGTAAATGCAATAGAAACAAAGATAAATAGCTGGGACTTAAAGTAAAAAGAGACGGCAAAAAGAACAGTCAGCAGAGAAAACAGAAACCCACAGAGTGGGAGAAAATCTTCACAATCTATACACCTGAAAAAGGACTAATATCCAGAATCTACAATGAACTCAAACAAATCAGCAAGAAAAAAAGAAACAATCCCATCAAAAAGTGGACTAGGACGTGAATAGACAATTCTCAAAAGAAGATATACAAATGACCAACAAACACATGAAAAAATGCTCAACATCACTAATGATCAGGGAAACACAAATCAAAACCACAATGCAATACCACTTTACTCCTGCAAGAATAGCCATAATCCAAAAAATTAAAAAACAGTAGATGTTCGCATGGATGCGGTGAAAAGGGAACACTTCTATACTGCTGGTAGGAATGTCAACTAGCACAACCACTATGGAAAACAGTGGCAGATTCCTTAAAGAACTAAAAGTAGAAATACCATTTGATCCAGCAATCCCACTACTGGGTATCTACCCAGAGGAAAAGAAGTCATTATATGAAAATGACACTTGCACACACGTTTATAGCAGCACAATTCGCAAATGCAAAATCATGGAACCAACCCAAATGCCCATCAATCAATGAGTGGATAAAGAAACTGGTGTATATATATATGTATACATATATATATATATGTATATATATATGTATACATATATATATGTATATATACACATATATATATGTATACATATATACACATATATATACACATATATATACATATATATATATGTGTATATATATATAGTGGAATATTACTCAGCCATAAAAAGGAATGAATTAATGAATTAATTTAGGTCATTAGGCAGTGACCTAAATGAGACTGGAGACTATTACTTTAAGTGAAGTAACTCAGGAATGAAAAACCAAACATTGTATGTTCTCACTGATATGTGGGAGCTAAGCTATGAGGACAAAAAGGCACAAGAATGATACAATGAACTTTGGGGACTTCGTGGGAGGAATGAAAGGGGGTGAGGAATAAAAGACTACAAATAAGGTGCAGTGTATACTGCTCAGGTGATAGGTGCACCAAAATCTCACAAATAAGCACTAAAGAACTTCCTCATGTAACCAAACACAACCAGTACCCCCAATAACCTATGGAAAAAGAAAAAAAATAAAAATAGTGATATGCCCAGTATGATGTGATATTTATTAATAATAACCAGTCTAGGCATTGACCAGAAACCCATTTCATCACAAGATTTTCTGGACTTTTCAGGATTTTCCCTAGCTTAAATTTTCTATTCTCATTGAATCCTTAAGCCCATCCATGTATGTTCTGTATCTATGCTAAATTGGAGTTGCAGCACATTCTTCCTTTTCTAATTTCCCCCTGATATTCTTCATACAAACATATTTGGTTAAAATTTCTGGAAAACAGAGAGGGGCTTACCAAACTGTATCATAAAATAAGCAATTAAACATGGATCTTAATATGCTGGTTCATATGCATAAGTGAATATTACACATGTGTTTGTATAACATGTGCTTTTTCCCCTTCTTTCTTATTTTGGGATGCTAACCATATATTCAAAAAGGGGATAGTTACATTTAATTTTAAAATGATGAAGAAGTAGAACAGCACATACTAGGGACTATCTCTGTCATGGCTGACAGAGAAAAATATTCTGACATAATTTTTTTAATGTAATGTTACCAAAACTTTCTGCACCACAGTTTCCTGATGTGTAAAATAAACATGACAGTACCCACCTTATGGAGTTTTTGTGCTGATTGAGGGTCAAGCACTTAGAGGAGTGGTTTATGCCAAACACAAACTCAACAAGTATTAGCTGTAATTATTACTATTTTCATTCCTCCTTTTATAATGAAAGTAAAGAATGAACCAGAATATTATACCTATGCCATTAACCATGAATTTATCTAAATAATCCACCTTGTTTTTCCTCACTGATTCAGATTATAAAATGTTCTACCACCTAGATTTGTCAAAAAGGAGAGAGGTTTCTAAGAAGCAAATACACATACAGTTGACCCTCCTCATTATGTGTGGATTCTACAATGGAAAATTTGCCTACTTGCTAAAATGTATTTGTAATTTTAGCACCAAATCAATATACATGGTGCTTTCACAGTTTTTTCTGTAGGTGTGGAGAGCAGCACATTTTTGAGTCACACACATTCTGACGTTCTCAACTGCAGTCTAACAAAGTGATGTGCTGTCTTCTTATTTCAGCTCTCATATTGTAATCTACTGTCCTTTTTATATGTTGGTAATTTTGCTATTTAAAATGGTTCTCAAACATAGCGCCAAAGCACCGTGCTACGGCCTGAATTGTACTACTCCAAAATTCATATGTTGAAGGCCTAACCACCCCTACTCTCCACCATGTGACTGTGTTAGAGACAGGACCTTTATGGAGGTTATTAAGGTAAAATGAGAACATAAGGGTGGAACCCTGATCCAATAGAACTGGTGTCTGATAATGCTATGAGAAAGATGAAAAAGAAAATAAATTTCTGGATTCGTGAGATAAAAATATATTTTTTTATTTTATTATTATTATTATTTTGAGATGGAGTTTTGCTCTTGTTGCCCAGGCTGGAGTGCAATGGCCACACCCCCCGCTTCCCAGGTTCAAGCAATTCTTCTGCCTCAGCCTCTCGAGTAGCTGGGATTACAGGCATGTGCCACCACGTCCAGCTAATTTTGTATTTTTAGTAGAGACAGAGTTTCTCCATGTTGGTCAGGCTTGTCTCAAACTCCCAACCTCAAGTGATCCACTCGCCTCAGCCTCCCAAAATGCTGGGATTACAGGCATGAGCCACCATGCCTGGCCGAAAATAGATTTTTTTAGAAAGCATGGTGAAAAGCATTGTTGTGGGGAGGAAGTGCAAAAAAACTTACGTTATCTAGGGCCTGGAAAATATTAAACTCTTTTGGGCTAGGCATAAAATATGTTGAACTTGCAGGTGAGGTAATTTTGCAGATCAGGAGGCTGCAGAATTTTTTTTCTTTTTAATTCCCTGCTACCTGTAAAGGAGTTATGTGGAATAGGAGCCTGTCAACACTGATAAGACTGGTTTGTTTTACAAGGTCTTTGGCAAATGAACCTTTGGCAAATGGTCTCAAAGTCCCTGACAGTTAACTCATTCAAAACCATACAATTATTCACATGAAATATATCTTAAATAATGTGTCTTTAAACAGAAATAAACATAAAACAAGGTTAAATATTGATTGTTTGATGAAATGTTTCGACCAGACACTTGCAGGAACCTAAACCTGTGTTTCCCTTAGGAGCAGTTGTTCCCTAATTACTAATTCAGTGTTTGCAGTGACCTTAGAAAACATGACAACCATGAATAATGAGAATCATCAGCTGTATCTGTTTTGAAAGCTCTATTTTTACTTTAAATTAGAATCTGTGTTTGTTTTTATTTTTACATATCTTATTTTCTCATTTAAGGAAATATCATTCATCATTACATTCAAGATTGAACCCTTTACTAGACTCTTTATCTCAGTTATTCATTGCTTTTATTGTTGTTTTTGCATAAGCCTCTCAAATAATTATTTTGAATGTTCTTTATTCTTTCCCTAAATTCCAGGTTTCCATCTCTTATAACCCTCCTTTAGTCTAAATTATTTCCTTTTCTATTTCTTTAGTGTAGGTCTGCTAGTGATAAATTTCTTAGTTTTTTTTTTTTTTTTTTTTTGGCCAGAAAGTGCTGACATTGTGTCTTCATTCTTGAAATATATTTTTGCTAGATACAGTATTCCAGGATAATCGTTCTTTAGTTTCAGCATTTTAAAGTTATTTTCTACTACCTTCTGGTCTCTAATGTTTCTTATGCAAAGTCAATGAAATTTCAAATTATTGTTCCTGTGAGTGTAATAAATCATTTCTATGGTTGTTTCCACAATTTTATCCTTATATTTGGTTTTCAGTCAGTTAAATATGATGTGGGTTTTTTCTACTATTACCCTACTTGAAGTTTTCTGAACTTTTTAAATACAAATGTTTATGTCTTTCACCAATAACAGAATTTTTCAACTATTATTTCTTAATTTTTTTTCTGCTCACTCTGTTTTCTTTTTCTGGAATTCTAATTACACAATGGTAATAAGGCTCATGATACTGTCCTACCAGTCTCTTAAGTTCTTGTCATACTTCTTGAATATTTTGCCTCTTGTTAAATTTCACTTCAATAGTAAATTGAAGTTTCACCTATCGTCAACTCAATTTCACTGTCACTTTTTCTCCTTTCCCATTTGCTGATAAATCTAGTCTCTGTGTGTGTTTGCATGTATTCAGATATCATACTTTTCGCTGTAGAATTTTCACTGGTTCTTTTTTTTTTTTTTTTTTTTTTTTGAGACGGAGTCTCGCTCTGTCGCCCAGGCCGGACTGCGGACTGCAGTGGCGCAATCTCGGCTCACTGCAAGCTCCGCTTCCCGGGTTCACGCCATTCTCCTGCCTCAGCCTCCCGAGTAGCTGGGACTACAGGCACCCGCCACCGCGCCCGGCTAATTTTTTGTATTTTTAGTAGAGACGGGGTTTCACCTTGTTAGCCAGGATGGTCTCGATCTCCTGACCTCATGATCCACCCGCCTCGGCCTCCCAAAGTGCTGGGATTACAGGCGTGAGCCACCGCGCCCGGCCTTCATTGGTTCTTTTAAAAAGATTTTATTTCTTTACTGAGGTTTCCTATTTTTAATGTATTATTAGCATATTTTACTTCATGTACCTGGGAATCATTAGTTATATGGCTGCTTTAATATTCTTATCTGCTTATTCCAATATCTGGGTCAGTCTCCAATGATTACATTTTCTCTTGATATTGGATCATATTTTCCAGTTTCCATGTGAGATTGTGATTTTTTTCATGTGTTCTATCTAGGACTTTATGAATTATATGTTTTAGAGACTCTGGATTCCTTTATGTTCTTTGAAGAGTATTGATTTTTGATAATAGCAAGTAGTTAACTTAGCCATTCTCAAACCCTCAACTATGAAATTTCAGTTCAATTATTTTATTCCTAGGTGAAATTGTAATAAAATTTACTGTGCATACTCTGGTTCAGGGATGAACCATAGATTTGGGTGGCATGTATCCACAAAAACCAGGAGCCTCTCTTTAGCTCTCTCCTTCTTGGATATTCCTCCTCACCTTTTAGCTGTGGTAGTTGCTTTTCATACTCTACACCATTTCTCCCTATGTAGGTTTTAGTCATGCCATATGATACTGACTGCTGCATAGTCTTAAGCTATAAAAAATTTCCTATAAAACTTACCCAGTATCTGCATGATTTGGGTTGCTCTTTGATATTCAGGAAATTGTTATTTTTATATTTTGTCCAGAGTTTAGAGTTGTTATCTGTGGGAGGGATGATCCACTTGGAGCTACTCAGACATAACCATATGCAGAAACTCCATTTCTAAATTCAGTCTTCTTCAAGTTTATGTAAGTGTACAAGTCAGCTCTTCTACACATAATCGACCACAGAAATATCAGTGACATACAACAATAAATACTTATTCCTTATTCATCAGTCTTCATGTCAGCTGGGACAGTTCTACTTTGAAATGCAAATCAAATTCAGGTCTTCTTCCTGTGTTTCATTCTGGGGCCAAAACTGGAGGAGTAGGAGCTCTCTGAGACATGTTCTTCTCCTAACGCAAAGATTGGAAACATTCAAGGAACAAGCAGAAACAAAAAATGATTTCTTTTAGGCTTAGTCTTAAATCTGGCACACAGCCCTATCATTTCCTCCCACATTCCATCGGTCAAAGCAAATTACATGACCAAACCCAACATCAATGAGCAAGAGGTACACTCTTTCCATGGGAGAGGTAAAATTTTATATTTACCAAGAAATAATTTAATCTGCCAAATTTAAGTCATTCGACTAAGTTATGGGATAAAAGAATCCTACTCTTGAGATCCATAAAAATCTAGTGAGAAAGGCATAGAAATTTTTTTGTAATGTGGTAATTTTATGATAAAATACCAATCCTGGCTTATTTCTATTTCTATAAATATTTATCTCTCTATTTATGTCTGATAGAAAAGAAATGATATTATAAGCAGGAAAACTATGGGCCAATATCCTGCTGGAGTACACATACAAAGATTTTTTTAAGTTAATTAGCAAATAGAATTTAGTTGTATATAAAAGGCATAAGATACAATGATGATGCCAGGTTTATCTCAGGTATGCCACGTTGGTTTAACACATTTATAAAAATCAAGCAATGTAATTCACTCAGATTACCAAATAAAGCAGGAGTAAAAGCATATAGTAATCTAAATAAATATTAAAAGAATGACAAAAGTCATTATTCACAATAAAATATCAGAATAAATTATACAGAGAATAATTTTCCTCAACATCATTAAGGAAACAGAAACATTACAGCTAACATCATACTTAATAATGGAAAAGTTAATGCTTTCTACTTAGAATTGGAAACAAGGCTACTGTGTCTGCACTTTCCCCCAATGTTCAGCATTGCACTGGAAATCTCAGTCAATGCAATTAGACAAGCAAAAAGCCTTAATTAAAAGAAAAAAAACTTAAAATTGGAAGGAAGAGGTAAAATAGTCTTTTATTCAAAAATGGCATGATTTTTTTTTTCTAGAACACCCCCTGAAACCTATGAAAGAGGTAATAGAAATAATAAATGAATATAGCAAGGCCGTAGAGTACAAGATACAAAAATTTTTATATGATAGCAAAATAAAATTGTAAATGTAGTAAAAAACTCATTTCAGCTTAAAATAGCATTCAAAAACATTAGAGGTATTTTAACAAAATACTTGCCAAACGAAACAATTTTGCTAAAAGAAGTAAAAAAGCATGTAAGTAAGTGGAGAGGTAAAGCATGATCATGATTCAAAAAACTCAGTATAGTTAAGTTGTCAATTTACCCCCAAATTAATCTGTAGATGTAACACAAATCTAATGAATATTCCAGCAAGTGTTTTTGTAAAATTTGGCAATCTGATTATAAAAGTTACAGAAATGCAAATGACCTAAAATAGCCAAAGCAATCTTTAGAAGGAAAAACAATGGGGGAAAAAATCACCTTACCTTATTTTAAAACTGAGTATAAAGCTAAAGCAATCATAGTAGGATAAACTTAGCAAAGGGATAGACACAGATTAATAGAACAAAACTGAAAGTTCAGAAATAAACACACACACATATGGTCAATTGGATGTTGACAAAAGCGTCAAGGTAAAGTAAAACCTTAATGACATGCAACTGCATACATATTCAAATGGTTACAATTTAAAATCATAAGCATGAATGTTGCCAATTATATGGAACAACTACATTGCAGATCGGGAAGTGAAATTGTAAAATCACTTTGCAAAATATTTTGGCAATTCCTCATAAAGGGAAACATGTATTTACATATGACCCAATAATTTCATTCCTATTTACATAAGAAATAAAAACCTTCTGTCCACACAAAGACTTTCATGAAAATGTCTTTAGCAATTTTATTTGTAATAGTCCCAAACTGAAAGCAATTCAAATGTTGATCAAAAGGTAATGAGCAAGCATAATACAATATGCAATGCCATGAAATACTGCTCAGCTACTAAAAGAAACAAACCACTGATACATTCATTTTGTCATATGAAACAATTCAGAAACTTTATACAGAGTAAAAGGAGATAGACACAATGAGTATATAATTTATGATTCCATTGATATACAATTCTAAACATTTCAAACTAATCTATTGTGATGCTGTTAAGCAGTGGCAATGGAAATGTTCTTTGTGTTGACTGAAACGGTAGATTTACAAGTGTATACATCTGCCATAACTCATTGGATTGCATCTGTAAATGGATACTGACTATAGTAAAGCTGAACAACACGAAAAAGATTAAAAGTATGCACCTTCATTTGTTACTACTTAGTTCATACCTCGAATTGTTACTTGGCAATAACTAATAAACTGGTGTGTTTTCAAAGCTGGTATTGAATTGTTTTACTTGAGAGCATATCAAGTGATTTCTCTTGTATTCTTTCAGGTATACAGTAATCTTCATAACATTGAATTGTAGGCTAGGCAAATTATTTTATTCCCACTTTAAAAGTAGACACTCTGAAACACTCTGAGGTTAAGTTATTTGTGCAAGGTCACCCAGCTACTAAGTAGTAGATTCAGAAATCTAATCCTCTCCTTTTCTCTGTTCATCACTCTAAGTAATTCACCTGCAATTTTTTTGTGTGTGTGTGTGTGTGTGTGACAGAGTTTTGCTCTTATCGCCCAGGCTGGAGTGCAATGGCATGATCTCGGCTCCCTGCAACCTCTGCCTCCCAGGTTCAAGCGATTCTCCTGCCTCAGCCTCCTGAGTAGCTAGGATCACAGGTGCCCGCCACCATGCCTGGCTAATTTTTGTATTTTTAGTAGAGATGGGGTTTCACCATGTTGGCCAGGCTGGTCTCGAACTCCTGACCTCCTGATCCTACCGCCTCGGCCTCCCAAAGTGCTGGGATTACAGGCGTGAGAATTGTATATATGTGTAATTTGAATAATTTTCCAATTTGAAAATTGATGTTATTTTCTTTGTTGTACTTTGCAAGACAGAGCGTTGCATAGTTGACTAATCACTACTTAACTTTGTTCTCATTTAACCGCAGCTATTGTAAACAACTAGTTCCATTTGCAACCCACACATGCAGAGAACACTGCCTCCCATGTACTGTTTTTATCTTGGGTGGTTAATGATCCTGAATCCAACATCCACCAAGGTTATAGCTCAGGGAACTCTTTCAAAGCACCCGTTAGAGAGGGATTTTTTTCCTGCCTCTCAGAAGCAAGTTCTATGTGAACTACTGCTTTCTGACTCATCTGCCAAGTCCAGCACATTGCATTATGTCCTAAAGGCAATAGAGGAGTAAGCCAACCCATCAAATTCCTGCCATCAATTTGGTTTAAGCCAGGAGATTATTTCTCCTGGGAAGGATGTTTCACACCCTTCAAGCAATCCCTCGGACATGTTAAATATGTTTCTCCTTGTATGAGCACTTTCTATTTAATACCAAGCAAAAAAATATATTTTCTGAACCAGATATTTTCCTTATAGTTGTGCATTTGCTGTTAGTAAGAAGCAGAGGAAATTTAGTTGTGTGGGTATACGTGTGTGTGTAAGAGAGATGGGATGGGAGGAAAAGAGAGAGAAACAAAGAGGGAGACGGGGGAGGTGGAGAGGGAGAGGAAGAGAAAGAAGAGAGGGTATTAAAAATACATGTCTATTATTTATACATTCTGGAAGTAATTTCTGTACCAATTAAGAATGCTTTCAGGGTGTTCTTTATGACACGATATTGGGAAAATTTAAAAAGTAATTTACTTTAAAAAATAATACATATCCTGTCTATTAAATATATAATTTTATGGAAAATTACATTCTCAAAAGAGAGAATTTTTTATGGAATACATAACCGTAAGACAATTTTCACAAATGTGGTAAGCAGAAAATGTCTCCCTCCCCAAGATACCCTTGTCCTAACATCCAGAATCTATGACTATGTTCCTGTACATGGAAAAAATAAAAAAGAGACTTTGCAGAACTGATAAAATTAAGTGTTTTGAGATGGGACGATTATCTGGAATTATCCCAGTGACTCCATTGTATTCACAGGAGTCCTTACAAATAAAAAGGAAACAAGATGGTCAGAGTCCGAAGGAGATTTGAATATGTTGCTGTTGGCTTTTAAATGGGGAAGAGGTCATGAGCCAAGGGTCCAGGCAGCCTCTAGAAGCTGGAAAAAGCAAGGGAAGAGGTTCTCCCTGGTAGTCTCCAGAAGAAAAGAAATACAGCTCTGCCAGTGCCTTCATTTTAGCTCTGTGAGAGCCATTTCAGATGTTTGCATTTCAAATTGTAAAATCTGAGTTGTTTTAAGCCAGTAAATTTGTGGTAATTTACTAGAGCAGCAATAGGAAACTGACACAAGAATAGATGCAGAAAGTACTTGGATCTTTTTATTTCACTTTCATTCTAAGTAGATGACTGTTTTGCAGTCTTCATGGCTTGGAATTTTAACTGGGGGAATGTGGAACTGGCTGCATCAATTTTTAAGGCAAAATTGAATTGTTTCCAGGAAATCACCATCTTCACTATCAAAGGAGTATTAGGAAATATTTATCACCCTTCTGAAATTTGATACTATTTTCTAGGAGTGTACTTAGGTAGCATTTGAGCTCTCAGAGTCCATTTAGGTTTCTAGCACAGAGTAAGTGCTTAGTCTATACTTGTTAAATTAATGGTTGGAGAAAATGGCTGCCTACGAATAATTTGTAGGAAAGGGATTAGATAATGAATAAAAACACCTCCTCCACTAGCAGATTCTTGTCTGAGTGGCACTTTTATTCCTGTGGATTAAGACAGAGTGCATTTTTAAAGAAATGAAAGTGTAATAAGGAGTGATTCGCATATTAAGTCCATATGTTTTAGAGGCAAATAGCATAATAATGAAGGGGCATAAAGTCACAGTGTATAGTGATCAAAGTGCAGGCTCTGACATCAAACCACATTGATTCTAAGGCCAGATCTTTTATTTATAAGCTGTGTGGCTTCAGGAAGTTACTTACCATTTGTGTCTCATTTCCATCTTACATTAAATGAAGAAATAAGTGTACTTAACACAGAAGCTTATGGTGAAACATAAGTGATTTACCACAAGCAATCTGCACAGAAACATAGCAAGCATGCACTGAACACACAAAAAAGCTCAGACACTTAGGAAAAGGTAAGTCCCCAGGTAAAGTGAAGTGTAGTATTTCAGATAGTTGTGCAAGTGATTTTATTTTTACAGAAAATAATAGAAGTTGTTCATGGGATGCTGAAAATACACTTCTTTATGGAGACTTTGGCCTAGAGTGAGTTCTGGGTATTAAAACAATCTAACAGTAGTATTTTAATCTCCTAGGGATACTTTTTGAAAGAGTGAAGAATGTACATCTCAAAATTTGCCAGATTGTTATATTGATTATTTCAAGTTGAAACATTGAAGAAATTGTAGTTTCAGAAAGGGTTAGCTGACCTCTCTCTTCCAACATGTAGCAAGCCTAAAGATTCCTCTGGAAGGAGTACACTCACAGTACCAGGAAGAGAAAATAGCCCTTATCACCAGAGACTGGGAATTGAGGGCTGCAATATCTCTGAATAAATATACTTAACCAAGTGGCCCTTATTTTCTGCTAGCTTTATATCCCACATATGTTTCCTGACTCCCCTAGAAAATTTGCTCCCCCTAGGGCCATTTCTTCTCAAATTTGTCATTCTTTGTCTAAAACTTATAAAAGCATCTTGCTTTGGCCACTTCTTTGGACTTCACTCCACGTACATGTAAAACTATACTTTCCTCTTGTTAATCTGCCTGGTGACAATTTAGTTTCTAGATACAGCCAAAGAGCCCACATGAGAGCTTAAACGGGGATGATCTCTGGTGATCTCTGCTCCCCTACGCTTTCTTCTTTACCATCTTCCCATATATGTGTTGGCTTTTGATGACTTTTACCCTTTTTAAAGTCATGGGCTAACATTACTAACCTCTTTAACAGGGGAAAAAGAAAGCAACGTGCTCAGTTAGTATGACATTCACTGCTGGCGTCTAATGATCAATTAATTGAAATAATATCTGCAAAGCATTTAAAACAAAGTAAACATCAAAAATATTGGCTGTTGTTAAATGGCTACTTGTATATTACACCAAGTCACAGTAATGTTGCTCTAATTACGTACTTGTATGCTACCATGGCTGCGGAGCACAGACAGAGTTTGTGGACAGTACAACTCCAAGGGGGCACTATTGATATTATTTAGGAAATGACTACTGACTTTTGGTTTGCTGTTGATAAAATGCTGTTATTCCTTGTAATGTCCATCTACTACTGTATTTTAAAATTATTTATTTACAAGGAATACAAAATAAAATGTACAGATTTGAAGTTTTCATTTTGACAGATATTGACAATTGTATGCACCATGTAACCACCATCCAAAACAAAATATGGAACATTTTTATCATCCCAGAAATTTCCCTCTTTCTCATTACAGGTAAACAAGAACCTGCCCCAGAGTTAACCACTTGCTGATTTCTATTGCCCTCAAATAATTCTTTGTTCTTAGACTTCAAATAAATAGAATCATGTAAATGTATTCTTTTGTGTTTGGCTTATTTTGTGCAAATTAATGTTTATGAGAGTCATCTAGTTGTTGAGTGTATCAATGACTCACTTTTTTATTGGTGGAGCAATATTCCGTTCTATGAATATAGTAATAAAATTTGTTTTTCGGTTGCTTCTTGAAAGTAATGGCAAAAACCACAATTACTTTTGCACCAACCTAACAGTAATTTGATTTGCTTCCATTGTGGGACCATAATGAATAAGGTTGCTACGAAATTTCTTGTTAAATATTCTATGTTGATATGGATTTTCACTTCTCTTCAGTAAATGCCTGATTCAAGATAGGTCATAGGTCCAAATGCAGAAGCTAAAACTATAAGGCTTCTAAAAGAATAACAGGAGAATATCTTCAAGCCATTAAGAAAGGCAAAGATTTCTCAATAGACACAACAGTACTCAGTAGAAAATAACAAAATTGATACATTGACTTGATCAGAAAAAAATAGTCTCCTTATCTGAAGACGTCATTTACAAATGAATAAGCAATCCAAGGAGTGGGAAAAAAAGTTTGCAATTGGAGCATCCAACAAAAGATTTTTGTCCAGAATATATATAACTAACACAAATCAACAATAAAAAGACAAAGGCAGAGTAAAAAGCAGGCAAAACACCTGAACATATAATTGACAAAATAAGTTATCTGTTAGAGGACTCGAATTACCTAAGTTCAGGGCTTATTTTACCCTATGGTATTCTGACCATGTGATATTGGGGAAAAAAAATACAAAAATAAATTGTAACAAAATAGTAAGTCCAGGAGCAAACTCAGACATATATTTAACAACTTCCCTTTTTAACCCGTTATTCCATTGCCCTCAGTAACCCATTATTCTCACTGTCCTATGTCAATGATCTCCTCTCACCATACAGTAACTTGGGCTCCAAAGTATCCACTTTATTCTATCTCCTGGTTTTCACTAGAGTACATGTTATCAGCCACCTATTAAGAAATCATGTTTTCTCACCAAAATAACTCATAACATGGCATAGTTGTCTGGTAGTTTATTTAATTCTATTTGTAGGTTGAAACTTATCTGTTAATACAACTATACCTGAGTATTTATTAAGGAGATAAAGGGAAATAAGCACTGTGAGAATGTAAGTAAAACAATAAAAAGGCAAGAACTATGTCTTGGTCACAACTTAAGTCACACCACATAGGAGCCCTGACTCCACCTGTGTGGAAAAACATAATCCAAACCTCAGACATGTGACTGGAAATGATAGGAAATATGAGATACGCTACTTTCTACTAAACTGGAACCTGTAGAGGCCAGTCTTTATTCATATTAGACTTACTGAAATAGCCTCAGTTTCTGGTCTCCTGAGTAATGTGGTGTGATGAGCTGTTACTACTTTTTTTTCAGATTTGCTTTTGCTTATTTATTTGTTTGTGTTGGTTGGTTGGTTGGTAGGTAGTGAGGACAATATTTAATGATAAGGAGAAATACATATAACATTAATTGAAACAAATCAGAACATGTTATAGAATATGTACAGTTGTTAGTACTATTTTTAATCGCATGATGTCTATTTAAGGATTAAAAATGAGAGTAGTAAGCCACAGTAATCAGTAGTAACTGGGAAAAATGGTAATCTGACTATAGGGTTATCAAATCTAATGCTTCTTAGTCATTTTGCAGCAGTGTTATAAATCTTGACTTTGGGAATTATTTTCAGTTCCACAGATTACTTCCAATAATATAAATCAAAGGGAAAAACATTGCTGGGTTGAGGGGTGGATGGGTGGATGGGGTGGGTGTTCAGGCAGAAAGGCAGGAAGACAGGTCCCAACTGGGCCTTTTGGAGAAAGATGATTATAACCAATATGCAAGCACACTAAGAACAGGTATATCAGGAAGAGGAAATTATTTCTGACAAGTTTACCAAATACTTTTATATATGTTACATCATTTTTAAGCAATGTGGCAACCCTTTACAATAGCTATTATTGTAGATTGGTTTAATGATTTCCATTGATTTACTTATTTATTACTGATGAAGATCCTAAGTTTGAGAGACATTGAGGAATATTCTCAAAGTCCCAATCAGCACTAAAATTTTATCCTAAATTTGAACTGATCTGACTCAAAGCCCCATATTGTTCCCACTAGCAAGGCAGTATTGTCTGATGGTTAAAAACACAGCTTCGGTGGCAAGATTCTTGGGTGAAAATCCTGGCTTTGTTTCTCATTCATCGTTTAAACTTGAACAAGTCATTTGCTCTTATATGCAACATGGGAGTAACAGAACACCTATCTCATAAAGTAGTTGTGAGGATTAAAAGTGTTACTATAGGTAAAGCCCTGATAAGAGTTCCCAACACATTATGAGCTCAATAAATGCCTGCTCTTGTTATTGTGACACTGTATAACTTCTAGTATGTATGTGTGTGTGTGTGTGTGTGTGTATGTATCCACTTAGCATGTTGTTACAATGTCTGAATATATTTTAAGTGAGTTGAATGGTAATGTGTATTTCTCCTTGAGACAGAAACCTTATTTACTTATTTGCTTATTACACACTAAAATTTTTTGGAAAGAAGAAAAATAAATATGCATATGAGATAGTGGCAAATGTGATAATTATCTTCTGACTGGATAAGCAGTAGACTGAATCATGCCCAGTTACCCAATTAGCCACCATCATCAAAACTATAGTTGCTATCTTGGCATAATTGTTCATATTTTTTTGGTAGAAACATATGGAGTAACTGTACACAGCACTGTCTGACAATTAAAATCTAAATGATCATAGTGCTTCAAGATGTCCTCCGACTAATTAGAAAAGTGATTGAAGAGGCATAATTTGAAAGTTTGTCAGTATTAGGGATTAACTGGTATTCTGCTATTAGATATTGAAACTTAGACTACTTTTATCTAAAAAATTATTAGTGTTTCATCACGTTTATAGGAATGAACTTGAGGAAACAAATCCTAAACAATTATTTCTGCTTATGAAGAACTTATCTCCAAAGCATGGCTTCAGATTTTTCACTCAGAGCAATGTAAGCTCTTAGGGGAACATTTCCAGAAATGTTAGAACTGCATAACTCATATTTGTTTGGGGTTTTTTGTTTTGTTTGTTTTGTTTTGTTTGTTTTGAGACAGGGTCTCACTCTGTCACTCAGGCTGGAGTGCAGTGGTGCAATCTCAGCTTACTGCAACCTCCACCTTCCAGGCTCAGGGGACCCTCCCATCTCAGCCTCCCAAGTAGCTGGGACTACAAGCATTCGCCACCATGCCTGGCTAATTTTTTTATTTTTTATATTTTGTTGAGATTGGGTTTCGCCATATTGCCCAGGCTGGTCTTGAACTCCTGAGCTCAGGCAATCCGCCAGCCTCAGCCTCCCAAAGTGCTGGGATAACTAGCATTAGCCACCTTGTCTGGCAGGTAACTCATGCTTTTCTATGTTTTCCATTTCTCCCTTTACATAAATGTTCCTTCTTCTCTAATCCAGAATATTAAATTGCAGGAACAATATTGTAGACTTCTTAGATTTTCCAAGTATCCTCTGCAGTTTCTCATGAGGTGCTAGGCATGGAGTTGTTAGTAATGCATATTTGATGATCTTCAAATTAGTATGATTTGCTTTCATCCCTTTGCTTCACCTTTTTTCCCTTTGAGAAATCTTCATTTTTTTCCCATATCCTTTCTTTCTACCTTTAGCTCAATTCTCCATTGAGTTTGTCCATTCTTCTCCATTAGGCCAAAATACACATCTGTGGTTCTTAATACTATCTTCATGATGCTTTCAAAGAGAAGCAATATATTAAGCATTTTATTCACTTGTTCCCAAATAGCAAATGCTTACTATTTGTTTGGCTCTCTATTCCAGATTCTAAGAGTGTTTATGTAAAGAAAACAAAAACAAATTCTGCCCTCATTCTGTGAGGAAAACATGAAAGAATTCTCAAAAGAAGATATACAAATGGCCAACAAGCATATGTAAAAATGCTCAACATCATGGACAAATCAAAACCACAATGCGATACCACCTCACTCCTATAAGAATGGCCATAATAAAAAAATCAAAAAATGATAGATGTTGGCGTGGATGCAGTGAAAAGGGAATACTTCTACACTGCTGGTGGGAATGGAAACTAGTACGACCACAATGGAAAACAGTGTGGAGACTCCTTAAAGAACTAAAAGTGGCTCTACTGTTTGATCCAGCAATCCCACTCCTGGGTATCTACCAGAGGAAAATAAGTCATTATATGAAAATGATACTTGGACACACATGTTTATAGCAACACAGTTTGCAATTGGAAAAATATGGAACCAGCTCAAATGCCCATCAGCTAATGAGTGGATAAAGAAAACATGATAAACATAACATGGACTACACTCAGCCATAAAATGGAACAAAATAATGGCATTTGCAGCAACCTGGATGGAAATGGAGACTGAGACTATTATTCTAAGTGAAGTAACTCAGGAGTGAAAAAACAAACATCATATGTTCTCACTCATATGTGGGAGCTAAGCTATGTGGATGCAAACATATAAGAATGATACATTGGACTTTGGGGTCTCGGGGAACGTGTGAGGGGTGGCAATGGATAAAAGACTACATATTGGGTACAGGATACACTTTTCAGGTGACGGGTGCACCAAAATCTCAGAAGTCACCACTAAAGAATTTATTCATGTAACCAAACACCACCTGTTCCCCCAAAACCTATTGAAATGAAAAAATAAAAAAGAAACTACACAAACAAATGAATGAAACAAGAGATGGAGATAGAGATTACTGGATTGGAAAGGAGAGGAATAAGGAGAATGGCTTCTTTGAGAGAGTGGTGTTTGAGCAGAGGTGTAAAGGATGAGAAGAGTCAAGCTTGAAAATATTTGTATTTGAGGCAGATGGAACATCCCATGAAGAGTGCTGAAATGGGAACAAAATGATGTTTTTGAAAAAACAGGAAGAAAACAAAATGCCTAAAAAGTAGTTAACAAGTGTGAGAGGATGCGTGAGTTCAGAGTTCTTTGTTACGGAGATGAGAATCTACTCTAAATTACGTTAGGAAATGAATTAAGAAATATTAGGAAGCTCATCTCTAAGAAAGCTGTAGAGTCAGTCTCAGCAGGTTGGAGCTGCATACATGCCACAATGTGGGCATTGCTCCAGTGAGATGATCACTGCCTCTGCTGCTCAGCACAAACATGGCAGCTCACACCTTTAAGGCTGGATACAAGGTTCCCAGGACTCTGCCTCCATCCCCACGGAAGAATGCATTCTGCACTGTATGCACTTCCCCCTATTGCTTACTTCCAAATCCAAAGTCTCCCAAACTTTTCTGATTGGCAGAGCCAAGGTAATCTAGCCAGCCAATACGAAGCCTGAGAGATGGCGTTCTCACTTCTAACTTGAGAACAAGGCGCTGATTAGGAACCATAGGAAGGATGTTCAAAAGATACCAGATCATTGAACATGTGACAAATAGCCACTAGATCACAAAAAAAATAGGATTTGTAAAATGTTAATATAATGTCAAGTGTATTATGATTTTCATATTCTTCCCCAAATTTTGCATCATAGAAATAAGTAATTGAAAAATACAAAACATACATGACTTCCCCAGCATCACAGAATTAGTGAGAGAATGAGAGTGTCAGTATCAACGATGTGTGGCTGAATTTATGGAGTGCCTTGGAAGGCTATTTAATCAGCAGGGCTATCTCTGTCAACACGAGCAAGGGCTGCTCCCCACTATGTCAAATCTCGTTGGCATCATCAACTGGAAGTGAGGCCTATCTCTTGAGAATTGGCATATCACTTCCGTGGGACATTGAGGTGGAGATCATTGACCATTGTAAGTAAGTGTGGATTATTAAAAGACTTGCAGAAAATGAGTCGTTCTCAAAAGTATCATTGAAATACTACACTTCTATAGTTATAACTACCATGTTGCTAACATCACGAAGATCATTTTTAAAGAGGGATTGAAGACATTTTAAAATTCATCAATATACCAAAACAGTTTTCTTTTCATGAATTTAAAATGTATTATATTTGCAAATCAGCTGAACATCTTCAGAGCCTATATTTATGTGACCAGAAAAGTGCCTACCAGATACTTATTACCAGATGATGTAATGAAGCAAAGATGTGAATCTTTTAGGACTTCATCGAATGCCTTAGAGAATGAAACTTTTTCCAAAACTCCATTTTGCATACAGTTAAGAAACAGTTACATTCTATTC
The DNA here is from genome assembly GCF_000001405.40 of Homo sapiens. Taxonomy (NCBI): domain Eukaryota; kingdom Metazoa; phylum Chordata; class Mammalia; order Primates; family Hominidae; genus Homo; species Homo sapiens. The sequence continues at coordinate 157,848,119 of NC_000004.12, forward strand.
ATCCCACAGAAATGTCTATTACGAGTAAAACACTTGCTATTTTAAGGCAGTGGAAAGGAAATAAGATTATGTATCAGAATAACCTGGGGGAAATGTGCTAAAATAAGGACTCAGGGTTTCACTGCAAGAATCTGATTCATTGTCATCTCTCAGGGGCCCAGAGATCCAATACATATAATGCATTCATCAATAATTGGATATTATTATAATATGTCCCCAAGCAAATTTCTTACTGAAATCACATGATTTTCATCTCATCAGAGATGTAAAAAGTAAGAGTTACTACAAAAATAGGCCTCAAATGTTCTGCAGAAGCCATTTCAATGGTGACTACACAAAGGGCATGATGAAAATTGATCTTCCTGAGACATTACACAGAAAAGTCCTCCCTTTTCTCTGCTAAAGTCTACACACCTCTAATCATTGAACACTCGTTTAAAGTAATCTTTGGCAAAGCTCTATAATAGTAATAAAGGCGTGAAATATTAGTCTACATTTACTAGTTTTCCACAAGTAGTTTCAGATTTTTCCGGAAGAGATATGACTCCAGATTGTTCCTAAGGAATTGCATCTAAAGATTTAAAACACTAATTGCAACAAAGAGAATAGATGCCATGGTCAAAGACAAATTTACTACTAATTCACTTTGTCTTCATATTTTATCTAAATTAAAAAAGAAAAGGGAAAGGGTAAATTGGAGATCGGCATTGTACTGAAGGTCAAAGACAAATATGCAAAAATATTTCTGCTCTTCTCTGCCTTACCTTCATTCTGAGTGCCACAAACAATAGAGAGAGAAACAGTGAAATTTCTACTTGAAAACCCTACTCAAGTGAAGGATACGTTCCTTACTTAAATTGTGTAACATCACTGACATTGTCTTTATTTAGCACGATGTTGTCCTTGCTTTCTTTTAGAGTATTAAAAAATATTGTTAAAGTTTAATAGGTTTACTCCCAATGTTAGCTACCTTAGTCACTCAAGTGTTTTTCTATATAATCATTCATTCTTAAAATATGAATTAACCTACCACAAAAAACCAAACCCCATGTTTAAGATAATACCACCATAAATTGATGAGGAAGTAGGGGTGCGTATTCCATGTTTAAATTTTCTTTAGGTAGATTAACAATAAAGAAAAAAATGTACGACAAGAGATAAAACATTAAGGACTGATTTCAAAAACTAATGAGATGATATTCAAAAAATAATAGGATATGTTTAAAAAAAGCTACAATTAATTTTTGAAAATTATAAAAGTAGACCAATCTCTAGGACACATAGTAAAAATGTAAACAAGATGAAAAAAATTGGAAATGAGAAAAGAACTATAACAATACAGAGATTTTTATAAGAAAATCACGTTTATAATTATAGTTAATACATATAAAATTCTATATTTTTGTGATAAATCAATTACCCAAACCAAAGCTTTGAAAACTAAAGTCTAATAACTACATAAGATATAGAGTAAGTTATCAATAATTTGCCTTCTTAAAAGAATTTTGGATTATATTGTTTTACACATATCATTATAGTTTTCTATGCTACAGAATCTAGTCCTGAAACTAGAAATTAGGAATGATTCCTTAAATAAAAGCTATGCATCAATGACACCTGTTAAATGCCACTATGGCAACCCTAAAGAAAATCCAGTCCGACCATCATGTTGACTACCTAGCGTTTATCCCAGGAATAAAAGATGTGTTTAATATTAGGATGTCTATTTATATAGTGCACATATCAATAAGTAGAAGAAAAACATGGATATCATAGACGATGTCAAAAAGTATTGCCAAAAATGTGTTGATTGCTAATTTAAAAGAAATGTTTTTACATAGAACAACCTCATAAAATAATAATTTAATGTACCATATATACTTATAGTAAACATCTAATGCTTACATTTACAGCAATAAGTTTCAATAATGTGTACCCTCTTTAATAGAAATATTAGGAAAAAATCAATATCTGACTTTAAAAGAAATGGAAATAGTTTAAGAAAAGACAAAAAGAAGTAACTAAAAAATGAGACAATAATTTCAAGAACTGTCATAGTGGGGATGTGTTGGAGAGGAGAGGCCTCTCCAGGGCTAGAGTGTCTATATCAAGGTACATATCTTGACATTATATAAGCTTCTAGGTGCTAGAGAAAGTATTAATATTTACATGAAATCGGAACATTTATGTTAGGCATGTGAGAAGCAGTGAGCTGAAGATGGTCCACCTGCAGTAAGTTAGGATCTTAGAGTGGAAAATAGGGCAGTGTACTTGGAGTACATCATTACAAGAAATGACAAGGAAGTTTTACATGTGGGAAAGCACTATTCTGCGATAAAATAAAAGACTAGAGATTAAATGTGTGGAATGCAGCTAAATTGGTGTTTATAGAGAAATGTATAAAGTTATGTAGATCTTTAAAAAGATTTACAACTAATTAGTTAAATAATCAAAGTATTAAAGTATAAAATAAAACTAGATTAAAAGAGTATTAGATGAATGGAATTCTTAAGTCAGAGTAAAAAGTAATGTAACCAAAATTAAAGAATTGATCGAAGTGATTAATAAAATGAAATTTAGTTTATTAAAAAGACAAATTCAAAACAAAAATTAATTAAGGAAAAGAGACAAAGTCACGAATAAAATCAAGTCTGCAAAATGGCATGCAGCTTTAGGGTAAAGATTTTAAAAAAGCATAAGAGTTTATTATGAACAATCTTATTGCAATGAATTGAAAATTTTTAAATGTATATAAAATTTCCAGAAAAATGTAAAATACCAAGTCTAGCTCAAGAAAATATGGAATATAGCTAAGTATTATTTAGGATTAGCTTTGTAGCTGTTATTAGAAAAGATCTCCCCACATAGGGATCAAACAAAGCAGAACTATAGTGCTTTCTCTGGTGGAAGTTCAAGCAGGTTAAGGCTATGGGCGGCTCTGCTTCAGCTTACTGTAGAATTCTGTTTCTTTTCTCCATGGTCTAAGATGATGTCTGGATCTGCATCCAGCACAGGAAGAAAACAACAACAAAAACAGACAAACAATTTGAGCAAAGAAAATTACATGACAATCTCACTTAAGAATTTATGTGCAAATTCCTTGGATTAAATATTGTCAAATTGAGGGGGGATATACTATCTAGATAGAGAATATCCACACTTAGAATATAACAGTGAGAAAAGAGGGATTATGTGATAGATGGTCATAGACAAGTGGTTATCCATATAAAAAATTAATACTAGGTCATTTTTTCATATCATATAAACAAACAGTAATTCCCATGTGTATTAAAGTTTGAAAAGCTAAACTTGAAAATGCTTAGAAGAAAAAAAACCTATCTTTATGAAATTGAAACAGAAAACAATTTGCTTATTGACACATAATCTACAAATTATATGCCACTTTATTTTGAAACAAAAATTTCTGCATTACAGAAGATATCATAAAGTAGAATATTAAGCCACCGACTTGGAGAAGATATTCGCAATGAAAAAACAAAACACCAACAGTAAAAATAATACCCAGAACATGTCAATAATTTCTTCAAATTAATAACAAAAAATAGGAAAAAAGGGCAAAAGACTTGGGTAGACACTTCCTAGAGATAAGCTTAAATTTTCAACATACATGAAAAAATTATCAGTTTTGCATCATGGAAACACAAAAGAAAACGAAAGTGAGATTGAAAAAAACCCTTTCTATTGTAGCTTTGATTGTAAAATCTGGTACCGAGTAGTACTGAAAACAAGAGGAAAAGAGAAACACATATGTTGCTGATGTGAATACAAAATGGTATAAGCACTTTAAAGAGAAATTGCCACAACCTAGGAAAGATGAAGAAGCACATATCCTACAACCTAGTATTTCTGCCTCAATACCTACACTATAAAGAAAAATCTTGCTCATGTTCTTTACAAGAGGTGCATGAGAAAGTTTACCGAAGCTTTGTTTGTAGAAATAAGAAATAGAAACACAAATATTGAATAAAAATATATTACTAAATATTCATTAAATTGTACAACACATAGCCATTGTAATCAGCATGTATCAGCACAAGAGATTGTATAAACTGTAGAGCACATGAAGAGGTGTGCACCTGGGGAATGAGTCTGACCCAATCCCCACTGTTCACCTTACAGACTCTACATTGTCTGCAAGACCCATGGAGAATCTAAGGTCCAGGCTTAGTTGGTGAAATTCTCTAGGCAAAGTCAAGAGATCGTTTCATTTTTCAATGCCACCCCAAACCTGAAAGAACATGAGATGAGAAAAAGTCTGCAGATGATTTTATTATATTTTTTATTTTTATTTTAAGTTCAGGGTACAAGTGCAGGTTTGTTACATAGGTAAACTTGTGTCATGGGGTTTGTTTTACAGATTATTTCTTCACTCAGGTATTTGGCCTACTACCTATTAGTTATTTCTCCTGATCTTCTCCCTCCTCCCACCCTCCCTCCTCTGATAGGCTCCAGTTTGTGTTGTTCCACTCTTTGTGTCCATGTGTTCTCATAATTCAGCTCCCACTTATAAGTGAGAACATGTGGTATTTGTTTTGCTGTTCCTTCATTAGTTTGCTAAGGATAATGGGCTCCAACTCCATCCATGTTCCTGCAAAGGACATGATCTTATTACTTTTTATGACTGCATAGTATTCCATGGTGTATATGTACATTTTCTTTCCGTGTATCATTGATGGGCATTTAGGTTGATTCCATGTCTTTCCTATTTTGAATAGTAGTGCAAAGAATATATGTGTTCATCTGTCTTTAAAACAGAACAATTTATATTCCTTTGGATATATACCCAGTAATGAGATTGCTGGGTCAAATGGTATTTCCGTTTTTAGGTCCTTGAGGAATCACAACACTGTCTTCCACAGTGCTTTAAGCAGTTTACACTCCCAACAACAATGGATAAATGTCCCTTTTTCTTTACAACCAAACCAGCGTCTATTATTTTTTGCCTTTTTAATAATAGTCATTCTAACTGGTGTGAGATGGTGTCTCATTGTGGTTTTGGTTTGCATTTCTCTAATGGTTAGTAATGTTGAGCTTTTTTTTTTTTTCATAAGACTGTTGGTTGCATGCATGTCTTCTTTTGAAAAGTGTCATTGGGTGCAGTGGCTTATGCCTGTAATCCCAGAACTTTGGGAGGCCGAGGCGGGCAGATCACTTGAGGCCAGGAGTTTGAGACCAACTTGGCCAACATGGCAAAACCCTTTCTCTACTAAAAATACAAAAATTTTATTCAGGCGTGATGGCACATTCCTGTAATCCTAGCTAGTCAGGTGGCTGAGGCATGAGAATTGCTTGAACCTGGGAGACGGAGGTTGCAGTGAGCCGAGATCACACCACTCACTCCAGCCTGTGTGACAGAGTGAGACTGTTTCAAAAAAAAAAAAAAAAAAAAAAAAAAAACACGAAAGTAAAGTAGTTCATGCCTTTTGCCTAATTTTCATTAGGGTTGTTTGTTTGTTTTCTTGTAATTCATTTAAGTTGCTTATAAATACTGGATATTGGACCCTTGCCGGATGCACAGTTTACAAAAATTTTCTCCCATTCTGTAGGCTGTCTTTACAGTCCATGGATAGTTTTCTTTGCTGTGAAGAAGCTTTTTAGTGTAATTAGACCCCTTTTGTCAATGTTTGCATTTGTTGCAACTGCTTTTCATGTCTTCCTCATGAAATTTTTGCCTCTTTTTATGTCTAGAATGGTATCGCCTAGGTTGTCTTCCAAGGTTTTTATAGTTTTGGGTTTTACATTTAAGTCTTTAATCCATCTTCAGTTAATTTTTGTATATGGTATAAGCAAGGGGTCCAGTTTTAGTCTGGCATATGGCTAGCAGTTATCCCAGCACCATTTATTGTATAGGGAATCCTTTCCCCATTGCTTGTTTTTGACAGGTTTGTCAAAGATAGATAGTTGTAGGTATGCAGCCTTGTTTCTAGGTTCTCTATTCTGTTCCATTGGTCTATGTGTCTGTTTTTGTACCAACACTATGCTGTTTCGGTTACTGAAGTCAAGCAGCGTGATGCCTCCAGCTTTGCTGTTTTTGCTTAGGATTGCCTTCGCTATTCACGCTCTTGTTTTGGTTCCATATGAATTTTAAAATAGTTTTTTCTAGTTCTGTGACAAATGTCAATGGTAGTTTAATAGGAATACCACTGAATCTGTAAAATACTTTGGGCAGTACAGCCATTTTAACGATATTTTTCCTTCCTATCCATGAGCATGAAATGTTTTTCCATTTGTCATCTCTGATTTCTTTGAGCAGTGTTTTGTAGTTCTCCTTGTAGAGATTTTTCACCTTCCCAGTTAGCTGTATTCATAGGTATTTTGCATGTGTGTATGTGTGTGTGTGTGTGTGTGTGTGTGTGTGTGTGTGTGTGTGTTGCAGTTGTGAATGGGATTGCATTCCTGATTTGGTTCTTGGCTTGCCTATTGTTGTAGAAGAATGCTAGTCATTTTTGCACATTGATTTTGTATCCTGAGATTTTGCTGAAGTTGTTTATCAGCTTAAGAAGCTTTTGTGCTGAGAAATGGGTTTTTCTAGACACGGACTATGTTGTTTGCAAACAGAGAAAGTTTGACTTCCTCTCTTCCTATCTGAATGCCCTTTATTTCCTTCCCTTGCCTGATTGCCCTGGCCAGGACATCCAATACTATGTTGAAGAAGAGCAGAGAAAAAGGGCATCCTTGTCTTGTGCCGGTTTTCAAGAGGAACGCTTCCAACTTTTGCCCATTCACTATGATGTTTGCTCTGGGTTTGTCATTAACAGTTCTTATTATTGTGAGGTATGTTTCTTCAATACTGAGTTTACTGAGAGTTTTTAACATGAAGGGCTGTTGAATTTTATCAAAAGACTTTTCTGCATCTATTGAGATAATCACGTGATCTTTGTCTTTAGTTCTATTTATGCGATGAATCACATGTATTGATTTGCATAAACTGAACCAACCTTGCATCCCAGGGATAAAGCCTACTTAGTTGTGGTGGGTAACCTTTTCGATATGCTACCAGATTCAGTTTCCCAGTACTCTGCTGAGGACTTTTGCATCACAACTAAAAGAACTAGAGAAAGAAGAGCAAAAAAATCCCAAAACTAGCAGAAGATAAGAAATAACCAAAATCAAACCTGAACTGAAGGAGATTGAGACACCAAAAACCATTCAAAAGATCAACTAATCCAGGAGCTGTTTTTTTGAAAACATTAATAAAATAGATAGACCCCTAGCTAGACTAATAAAGAAAAGAGAGAAGATTCAAATAAACAGAATCAGAAATGACAAGGAGATATTATCGCTGACCCCACAAAAATACAAACAACCATCAGATAATATTATGAACACCTCTATGCACATCGACTAATCTAGAAAAAAATCTAGAAAAAAATGAATAAATTCCTGGACACAAACACCCTCTCAAGACTGAACCAGGAAGAAACTGAATCCCTGAACACAGCAATAATGAACTCTGAAATTGAGTCAGTAATAAATAGCCTACCAACCAAGAGCTGCCCAGGATCAGACAGATTCACAGCCACATTCATACGGATGAATGTACGAAGAAGAGCTGGTAACATTCCTGCTGAAACAATTCCAAAAAATTGAGGAGAGACTCCTCCGTAACTCATTCTATGAAGCCAAACTCATCCTGATACCAAAATTTGGCAGAGCCACGACTAAAAGAGAAAACTTCAGATAATTTTAAATAGGTATGCATAATAAAAATCAATATAAATACAGGTATGCAACTCTAAAAGTTTTATATCTATAGATACATAAAACTAAAATAAAATACATTACTGAATAATGAAAATCTACATTATAAAAGGAAAACAGTCTCTAATGCATAATTCAGTGTTCAATTATAGCTGAGGAACTATGGAACAATGAAGATAATCATAAATGTTTATAACTCTAAGGAAACACAACTTAGGTTGAGTAGAAATTCATTCAAAGAAGGAAGCAGAAAATATGAAGAGAATGCTGGCTAATATTTAATTGAAGTTAGTAATATAAAAATATAGCAGATATACACAATTGATAAATTTTTAGAAACAAGAAGTTTAATTGGAAAAGAATGTGTTTGCCCATTTAAAATATGTCCATCTGCTAGTTGCCACAATGGGGTGGTATTATAAATGGCAGAAAGAGACCAACATGTACAGTTCATGGCAAATGATATCACAATTTACAGAGTTTTACAAATTACAAGAGAAAACATGAGAGAAGAATGACTTCCCAAGTCCCTACACATTTATATATTTTTTTTATTATACTTTAAGTTTTAGGGTACATGTGCACAATGTGCAGGTTAGTTACATATGTATACATGTGCCATGCTGGTGCGCTGCACCCACTAACTCGTCATCTAGCATTAGGTATATCTCCCAATGCCATCCCTCCCGCCTCCCCCGACCCCACAACAGTCCCCAGAGTGTGATGTTCCCCTTCCTGTGTCCATGTGTTCTCATTGTTCAATTCCCACCTATGAGTGAGAATATGCGGTGTTTGGTTTTTTGTTCTTGCGATAGTTTGCTGAGAATGATGATTTCCAATTTCATCCATGTCCCTACAAAGGACATGAACACATCATTTTTTTATGGCTGCATAGTATTCTATGGTGTATATGTGCCACATTTTCTTAATCCAGTCTATCATTGTTGGACATTTGGGTTGGTTCCAAGTCTTTGCTATTGTGAATAATGCCGCAATAAACATACGTGTGCATGTGTCTTTATAGCAGCATGATTTATAGTCTTTTGGGTATATACCCAGTAATGGGATGGCTGGGTCAAATGGTATTTCTAGTTCTAGATCCCTGAGGAATGGCCACACTGACTTCCACAATGGTTGAACTAGTTTACAGTCCCACCAACAGTGTAAAAGTGTTCCTATTTCTCCACATCCTCTCCAGCACCTGTTGTGTCCCTACACATTTCTACGAGCCTACATATCCCTTAGTGATCTGGGGCCTACTGAGCAAATAACCAAAGGAAAATAGCCATTGCACATTTCTGGCATTTACAGTGATGTTGTGTAAAGAGAATGTCAGTTTTCCGGGTAAATTACTCAGCAAGTCCAGGAGTCAGGTTAGTCTAGTCTACATCTGTATTTGAATGTTTTTAGTTTTAACACCTCCCTCCCACTTTTTTTCCCCATAACAACTTAACAGGTAAAATATTTTGTCCTGTCTTCCAGGAACAAAATAGCTATTTGATACACTCAATGAAAGGAAGATGTTTTATTGATTAAAACAAATGAAAGAATTTCACTTTTTTAAAGTTTTCTTGTTTTCACTACCTTTGATTTAGAATGTCATATAAATCTATTGACATATAAAACAATATGTTTATTCATGCCATTTCCATCAAGTTTAAAGTTCCTCATTTTCCTTTTCACTTTTATTCCTCTCATGGTTACCATTTTAGAAATGTCTCCAAAGTTTTCAGGCTCAGTATAATTTTGTTAGTATCATTTAGTTACTAACAGGTTGCATATAAATGTGATCCCAGACTTCCTGCAGAGCTCCGGATTTTGCTAAGTAAAATAGTTAGTTTAGGTCGTTTAAGGAAGTAAGAAATGGTTATCGAGTCTTTAGAAGAGCTCTTAAAATCTAAAATGAGTTATCACGCATAACTCATAAAGTCAAACTTTGCAGCCAAGAAAACAACCACCTGTGATGGCTACAGAATTAAGAAACTGCTGGCTTCAGAACCACACTTTTTCTGCCCTGACCCACAGGCCACTTGATCAGATAGCTGCCTGTTAAATTTGGAAGTGGCTCTACACTTGTCTCCTCCAGGACAATGACACTATGCTTCACAGCAGCAAAATAGATCCCCATTTTTGAGCGTCTCTGGCATGACTCAGTTCCAAATCCAAGTCCATATCAGAGTAGTAGAATCTAAGTCATAGCTAGACTCCTAGCTCTAAGTGGGTTTACAAAATGCAACTTTAAGCTTTTCCAGTCTCTGCAGGAAAGGTATTTTGGAACATGGGTTGAAGGAGTTTGCAATGCCTATTGAAAAACCCAACCAACAGCAATGGCCTCACATGCAAATGACAGACAGAACCTCAGATTACAAAATAAAAATGAAGGTGAGACTACTGACATATATTACTTATAAATAAAGATATCATTTTTAATCCTTTAAAAGTAGTTTAGTGTTAAACATTCTAACTTAAAAGCTTTTGCATAAAACAGTATGTATGAGGTTGTAGATGATGAGTGGATCTCAGAGACAGGAACATAGTCTGGGCTTTTGCTGACTAGTATGTTGGAGAATCATTCCAAACTATTCAAAGTTAGGCCTGCCTTTAATATGGATTATATGGCCAATGAAGAGGAAACCTTATTCTATCCATCAGTTTTCTTGCCACTTTCACAATGGTAGAATAAAATGCATATTGTCCCAGGAGTCAGAAAAACATAGGTTCTTAAAAAAGTTTTCCCTCTAACAATTATCTTGGCAAGTTTCTGCCTTTGTAAAATAGAAATAGCAGTACAAGCTACAATAAAAACCCTCCAATTATTTACTATTTTAATGAAGTATTAAAGTTTATGAATGTTGTCTAAAAGTATAACCAAATTATTGCCAATAACTAAATAGGATAAATGTAAAAAGTTTACATTTACATATAAGTATATGTAATATATTTATAACAAATTATATTGACATATACCATATATTTATACTTTATTAGATATCTTTAAAAACTGTGGTGATTATTGAATATTCTAGCAAAAAACCCACAATGTATTATAGCATTATAGCATATATTTCAGTAAAATACATGCCAACAATAACACAAGAGTTGTGGGTTGAGTGGTAAATGGAATTGTATAAGGTTTTTACACTGTACTGTAGAGCAGTCATTACAAATTAATACAAAGAGCCATAGTCACAAACACCAATGCAGAAGATAAAATTGAATATTATTAATATTTTAAATTTTACCAGAATAAGGCAGAAATTGAATAACAGATAAAAAAAAAGGTCCAATTATAAAAAAAAAATACCTTCATGGGGGACTGAATCTCAATCATATTACAAATTACGTTAAAGAGAAATAGACTAAACACTTCATTTTCAAGCAGAAGATTGTCAAACTTCATGAAATGAAAAAAAGGTAAGATTCAGATATATGGTATTTGCAAGAATCACGTCTGTGACTTAAAAAAATGATTCTTGCAAATTTTGTAAACTAACAAGCCTATTGTAAAATTTTTTGGGGGGAAAGCAAAAGGATATTGAACAGCTTGAATGGCCAAAACAACCTTGAAAACAAAAAGGGAGATCAAATTTAAAGGACTCATAATACCTAATTTCAAGACTTACTACCAAATTAGGTAATAAAGATAGTATTTTATTGGTATAAACATGGACAAATAGATAATAAAAAGGAATAGGGAGTCCAGAAATAGACTCTGGACAACTGATCTAAGTTAATTTATTAGGTAAAGGAATCTTTTTAATATGTTCTTAGAACAACAGGACAGAAATTTTAAATTTTAAAGACTTCTAATTTACCTTTTTTTTCCTTCAGAACTTATGTTTTGTTGTTATGAACAAAGATTTCTAGGACAGAACAACAACAAAACATAAGTTCTGAAGGAAAAAAAATGGTAAATTAGAAGTCTTTAAAATTTAAAATTTCTGTCCTGTTCATCAAAATGCCAATAAGAAAATTATATGAAAGACACAGACTGTGAAAAATATTTGCAGCACACATGTCTGACAAAAGCATTTGCTTCCAGAATATAGAAAAATGTTTATAAATCAATAAATTTACAAATGAACAATGTGGCAAAAAATGAGCACAAGATTTGAACAGATACTTTACAAAGGAAGATCTATGAATGGACAATAAACACATAAAAATATGTTTAATGTCATTTGTTAGAGAAATGCAAATTATAACTACAATGACATACAGTTTCACATCAACTAGAATGACTAAATCAAAATGACTAACAAAAGCAACTACTGGTTAGGATTTGCAGCAAGCAGTTATTTCATACATTATTGAAATAATGGGAGTATAAAATGATTCAACATTTTTGGAGAAATGTTTGTTATTTATTTATGATATTCACCATACATCTATGCCATGACCCAGGCATCCAAAAGGAAAAAATACACAAATACACACAGAAATTGGAATTTTATTCAATAATTTAAAAAATGAACTACTGATAGGCACAATGATTTTCTGGGCCTGTTGTGGGGTGCGGGGAGTGGGGAGGGATAGCATTAGGAGATATACCTAATGTAAATGACGAGTTAATGGGTGCAGCACACCAATATGGCACATGTATACATATGTAACAAACCTGCACATTGTGCACAGGTACCCTAGAACTTAAAGTATAATAAAAAAATACATGTATAAAAAAAAGTCAAATGTCTCTAAGTAAATCTAAAATTCAGTATAACCATCCAAATACCAACAAGACTTTATGTGATATTTTGTAATACAGTGTAAATAAAACATTTCTACATGAAAAAAAAGAAAAAGCAAGACACAAAAGAGTGCATACTAAATGATTCGTTTCTGCAAAATATAAAAACAGACAAAATTATTCTAAACTGATGGCAATTTGATAATAGTTGATGGAGCACTGGAGAACAGAACTGACTGGAAGGGAACATAGGGGACTTTCCCAGGAGATGGAAAGTTAATCTTGTTGTAAGTTGCGTTTACAGGTCATATGTCATTGTCAAAGCTCTTTGTTCTGACCAGTTAGATCTGCGCATTATTTATGTTAAATATATCTCAATGAAAATAACAAGAGAATTTTAAATATTTTGTGTGAAGTTTAAATACAGCAACTTAGCCTGGGTGGCATTAGACCAGCTAAACAAAATAAACTTGCACGTTTTTATTACTTGGCTTTTTCATTATAATTTTATCATACATTACCTTTAGATATGCCCCCAAATAGCTACAGAAGCTTTTCGATAAAAAGGCATGACAGATATGAAGGAGACTTAGAGAGCATCTTGAAAAAGAAGCAGTATATCACAATAATGGAAAGAACTGATCATGCCTTTCAGAAATAAAAAGAAAACAGCCTTTCATGAAAAAAGATATTTTTATAAAAATAATCTTATCTCTCAAGCATTAGCTTATCTTGAGATATTTAAAACAAGCACAGGAAAGGCATGTTTATATTTCTATATAAGAATAACCAAATAGCTCACTTTTGGTCTGAGAATTGGTATTCTAAGATATATTACCATATATCATGTTTTGGTTGATTTATAAGAAGGCCTTGAGCTTAGAGGTTTACCAAAAACATGCCCACACAGTCTTAGTTCTGGCAATCAGATTGCTTGCACTATAATTAGATAAGAATTTAATAATATTAAATAAAGTTGAGTAGAAAAACACCACAGATAAATTAGACAAATAGGATTTATAATATTTCACTTATAATATAAAAGCTACAACATTATTTAGTAATATGCTTGAGTTTTCAGAGTCAGAATAACCAGAATAGACCTGTTATCTAACTGGGACAAGAATTTGAAAATGAAAACCTGCAAAATTTTGGAAATAATCGTTGTTTTGCAACAGGACCCAGATTTTTAAACGAGTTCGCTTTTGTACCCATCTTCACATGCCACACTGGAACTGTACAGAGGAACGTGAAGCTTGTTAAAAATAAAAGACCAATGAGCCACTCTCCAGGGGGATAAAAATAGAAGGAGACTAACAAACATAATCTGCAAGAAAATTAGTTCAGCAGCAGGTAGCAGAAAAAAAAAGTATTAATTGTCAAATATGCAGAAAAGTAATAGGAACTGAAGAGGGAGCAGTTTTATGGAAAAATAGCTGGGCTCACTAACATGAAGAGAGTACATATCAAATGAAACGGGAATTATACAAGGTTGATTTTTTTTTTACCTTCTAATCAAATAAGTGTCTTTCAGAAAATATGACTGATGAATCATGAATCAATTCTAATGTGCAAGTAATTCTTCTTGGCATTAATTAAAGAGAAATTGCCCTTTACTTAAAAAAAAATGTGCAGAATGTCAGAATGGAACTAGCAGGCACTAATATGTCATAAATTGTAAGAAAAATAATAAGAAATGTTTTTATGTAGATAGAGGGAAAGGATTTAAACTAGTCTTTTTTTATCAACTTTCACACTTGTTTTTTTTGTTTGTTTGTTTTGTTTTGTTTTTTTCTTTCTTTTTTTTTATTATACTTTAAGTTTTAGGGTACATGTGCACATTGTGCAGGTTAGTTACATATGTATACATGTGCCATGCTGGTGCACTGCACCCACTAACTCGTCATCTAGCATTAGGTATATCTCCCAATGCTATCCCTCCCCGCTCCCCCGACCCCACCACAGTCCCCAGAGTGTGATATTCCCCTTCATGTGTCCATGTGATCTCATTGTTCAATTCCCACCTATGAGTGAGAATATGCGGTGTTTGGTTTTTTGTTCTTGCGATAGTTTACTGAGAATGATGATTTCCAATTCCATCCATGTCCCTGCAAAGGACATGAAGTGACTTTTGTTTGTTTGTTTTTACTTTAAGGCTCTTTTACAGTTCCCTAGAGCAGTTGTATTTCTTTCACCTTGGTAGAGGACGAGTGTATGTTCTGGTTTTATAGCTGACTTACAGGAAAGACTTTCCTTTTATTAACCTTATTTTCAAACCCAAAGGCATTTTGGAAGTAGTATAATTGTGTAGAAATGAATTATCTCCTTTGTGGTGCTTTAAGCATCTTGATTATCATCCTCCAAATTACTTTTGTGATCTCAAAAAAGGAAAGAGATAGCTGAAAGTCAGATATGTTCATTTTTTGTTGATTTTTCTGTTTTGTGCAATTATACAAATATGCTCAAACTTCATTTAATTTTAAACTGTTTAAATGGTATCGAAATATATAATATAAAATCCATAAGTTTAGCAAATATTTTCCATTAAAATAAACTAATGTTCCACAAAGACACTTAATTTTCTTGGTCTATCAATATCTATGCCTCTAGAAAATCAGTAATTTATTGCTCTAGTCCAGTAGAAAGCTGGCAACATTGTTGTTTACTCACTAAAAATTTAACAAAGAAAAAAATCATATTAATTTTTCTCTGAAAATTTTTAGCAATAAACCCACTGTTTATTTCTGTGAAGATCTAGTTCACAGCAAATATTTATTGTGCTTCAGGTTTATTAATGTAACATCTTTCTTTCTTTCTCCTTCCTTCCTTCCTTCCGTCTTTCTGTCTTTCTTTCTTTCTTTGTTTCTTTTGAAAGAGTCTCACTCTGTTGCCCAGGCTGGAGTGTAGTGGCTCACTGCAACCTTTGCCTTTGCCTCCTGGGTTCGAGTGATCCTCCTGCCTCAGCCTCCCAAGTAGCTGGGACTACGGGCATGTGTTGCCACGCCCAGCTAATTTTTGTACTTTTAGTAGAGACAGGGCTTCACCATGTTCGCCAGGCTGGCCTTGAACTCCTGACCTCAAGTGATCCGCCCGCCTCAGCCTCCCAAAGTGCTGGGAGTACAGGCGTGAGCCACCGCGCCTGGCCTAATGTAACAGGTTTCTTAACTGACTAGTGTATAACAAAAATTTTTGAAGGACCAAAGTCTATGCCATGCAGCGGCTCACAGATTAGGCAGAGGGGACATGAGGAGAGGCGTAAATCCAACATTAGAGCGACAAAAAAATGATGAAATCAAAATATAGAAACAAGGGAGAGGATTCTGACATACTAGACAATGCCAGTAATGTTGTTCTTTGTTTTTCCATTTTTTGTTTTTGTTTTTGTTTTTGTTTTCTCTTTTATTTTTCCCCAGAGGAAAAAGCAGTTTACTGAGAAGCTTGGAAAGAGGAAAGGAGGTGGGACAGAGGACATTTCCAGTAGAGGAAACAGAATGTGTAAAAACATGATAAACATGAAAGAGACTGACACGGGGCACATATTGGTGACTAATGACTCAGATAGGCTGCACCAGGGGTCCCAGCTCAGTGGCGAAGGACGAATCTTCCCTGATAGAGAGAGAACAATAAAATCTCATAGACTGCATTTAAGGCACTACAGTTTATCTTGAAACACATAGGAGGGACCATTTTTCAGAGGCCATTTAGGGGAGAATCAGGCAGTAAACTCTGTAAGAAAGGATAGTTGCAAGTAGTAGAGTGGTCAGCAGAATTAAATCTTACCAAGGCATCAGGTAAAAATTGAAACAAGGTTTTTTAATTGTTGTTGGCAATTAGGTAACTGGTGGGTTTTTCTTTCAAAAGTAGAAAGTGAACTCGATATAGGTTGGCGGCTTCTACTCTGATTCAACTCTAGAAATATCAGAGGAACAAAAGTGGGCATACTTAATCATAGAACTGTCTCTCTGTCTCTCTCTGACACACATACACACACACACACACACACACTAAACTGTGGCAAACTGTTGGGGAGGCAGAGGTGGTGGTATATCTGTTGTGTATGGGGTGGGAGGCACAGAAGCAGAAGGTCAGGCACTTTGGAAGGCGGGTAAATGGGGCAGGGTTTCTAGAGAGCCACTTGGCTCATGACAGATCATTGTCTATTCTGAGCCAACAGAATTTAGAACTAAGTAGTACCTGAACTTTCCTTCTCACCCCTGTCATTCCCCCAAAGATTAGATAATTTCAAAGACACAAAGATAAGTGAGTGAGGTAGGGTGTCAACCCAGTCTGTGTTCCTCTGTGTGTGTGTGGCAGTTGGAGAGTTGGGGAGAAGACAAACAATAAAGAAGCATAGGGCAAAATTATAACAAGAGAAGCTCTCTAACCTGAGGTGCATCTATCAGAGCCCTGTCGTCCCTCCTTAAGGTCATCTGGAAACTCAAAAGCTAGGGTTCAGCCTTTTAAACTTCACCACTTTACACAATTATGAATATAAAAATTGATAGCCTCTCTTCATAGGCTTTTCTAGACCATCCAAACATTCTAAACTGCATACTCACCTCAGTCTCTGTCTGGCCACCTTGCATTATTTACTGCCTAACCCCTTCAGCATCAGAAAATTACTACATCTTTACAAAAATAAAAAATAAATATAAATACATAACATATAAATAAAATTTAAAAAATAAAATAAAAGACTGGGTCTTGCGATGTTGCCCAGGTTAGTCTGAAACTCCTAGGCTCTAAAAAAACTCCCACCATGGCCTCCCAAAGTGCTGGGATTGTAGGCACGAGCCACCATGCCTAGCATCATTTTAACTATTTTAAATGAATGTATAAGTTAATAGAAGGCAAAGCCTTTGGAAAATGTTGGAGAATGACCCGGGATGTTAATAGATAATAACAGTGGGAAAGGCTAGAAGGTGTTTTAGCTGGTTATCATTCATTAAAGGAGTAGAGAATTTTACAGAGGGCTAGAAAAGCTGTATTTTAGAGTGGGCTATCTTGACTTTACTAAAACTATTCATTGCTGATTCCAGCCCCAAGGTACATGAGAATTAGTGATAAGGCAAATAGGTAAAATAATTTTTTGAAGAGGTTAAGAGGATGATAATATTTCTTGGAAATACAAGTTAATGAGGACAAAGTGTTAAGGGTAAGTGGGGAGTTAGTGCTAGGAGGATGTCGGGTAGGAAGGTTTGGAAACGTAAATGAAGGTACTGCAAAGGTGTGAAGGAACTTGCATGTGGGTTATAGCTTAAGGATGACAAGAATCATTCATTCAATGTAAAAGAAACATTTACGGGTCACCTAGGAACTAAAAGCAAAATAGTGATATATTTTCAAATTTTAGGGGTCTGGCAAGCCAGTGGCAGTGGGAAATTATTCCAAGCATCACATTAACAAATGCATATATACAAACTGAGATAAGTATCTGACCAAATGAAGAGAAGAAAACATAAAAATGCAAAATAAATTATGCTATAACAGCATAATGAGGAAGAGATTTTGACCTCAGACCTCAGAGTAAGAAGGAGTTACCTACAGGGAGAAAGGAGGCAACAGATAAAACAACATGCACACCATGGTGTTGCAGGGAAAATGGCCCATTCCAGAAGTTCACAGAGGGACAATACGACTGGCGGCCAGAAGACCAGGAGGTGGAGTCATAGAAGAAAAAAGCCTAGACAGAAAGCAAGGATCGGGCCATAGAGAGATATTTTGTTTTGTTTTTAACTATATTTAAAGTTGTGGAGGATTTCAGTTTTTGTTTGTTTGCTTGTTTTTATTTTTAACTTTTTTGCTCTGCAATGAGAATGATTAAAGAGTCAGATAAAAAGGGCCAAGTTGTGTATTTTGAAAATGCACCTTGGCTGAGATATATACAGGAATGGAAAGGTGGGCATGATGGATGAGGGAGGCCTGTCAGGATGCTAACATAGAGAGAGAGAGAGTTGGCTCGGACTAGGGTGCATTCCATAGAAATATACAAGTTTGCAGACTCAAAAAGATATTTAGGAGGGAGAATCCACAGGATTCAGTGACAGATTTGTCACAGGACAGGTGTGAGAAGGTGGGAGAAAGTCAAGGACCTGGTGTGGGCAGGAAGATTATGGGTTCAGTCACAGACCTGCTGAGTTTGACAAACCTTTGAAGCATCCATGGGGAGACTGCATGTTTCACTGAAGTCTTAGGTAGGGAGAATACAGAGGAAGAAAATATAGAGAGCTTAGAATAAACCTTTGAGAAATTCCAACATTTGCATTAATCAGTGAAAGGTACAAAGCAGCCAGAAAGACGGGAAAAAAACTAGACTGTGTGATATCTAAAGCCAAGGGAAGAGAATTTCTTTTTCCTTTTTTAATCAGCTTTATTGAGGCATTGTTGATAAATACAATTTATAAGTTTAAGGTGTACAATGATGATTTCATACACAAATATATTGTGAAATGATTACCACTATCAAGCTAGTTAATACATTTATCATTTCACCTGATTACCTTTTTTTGTTTGCTTTGTAGTGAGAACATGCAATATCTATTCTCTTAGCAAATTTCAGGTATTGTTAACTATAGTCACCATGCTATACTGTATAATATCTATTCTCTTAGCAAATTTCAGGTATTGTTAACTATAGTCACCATGCTATACTGTATAATATCTATTCTCTTAGCATATTTCAGGTATTGTTAACTATAGTCACCATGCTATACCTTAGATTTCAAAACGTATTCATCTTATAACTAAAAGATTATACCCTTTGAGCAATCAATAAGCAATGAATGGTCAACAGTGTCCCAAACTACTGAGAGGTCTATTAAAATAAGTCCTGGAAAATTTCCCATGCATTTTAGCCTCTTAAAAGCAACTGGTGCTATTAGAAGTTATAATGAAGTAGATTAAGGAGATAGTAGGAAATGGGGAAATAGAAACTGCACATACAAGTTTCAAGGATTTTGCTATGAGAAGGTGATACATGGAAAGTAGTGGGAATGAAATGATTGTTTTAAACACATGAGACACTCGAGCATGTGTAAACATTTTAGATAAATCTGGATGACAGGTAGTGGATGAAAATCTGGGGGGAAGGATGAATAATAAGTAGAGAGAGGATTGTGAAAGGTGAGAAGGATAGGTTTTAAAGTCCAGGAGGGGGACTTGCTATGTGTAGAAGAGACGCTCCTTTACATACAGAGATGAGATGTAAAGTTTGCTAGCAGGGAGTTAAAGAATGTTTATATCAAATGAAAGCCCAGGTCAACCACTAAGAAGGTGATGCGTGCAGCCATCGGAATTTCATGGTAGCCTGGTGTCCTCCAAGCTGCTCCTTCCAGAACATGGAAAAGATCTTTCCTAATACCCTACAGCACAACAGAGATCAGGCTGTAGGTGGCATACTCTAAAGCTATAATACGAATTTAACATACTCTCTCACAGATACACACACACACACACACAATCCTAAGGAAAAAAAATAACAAGTCACAGGCATGGCAGCTATAATCCATGTTTAGAAAAAAATCCACCCCTCTAGGTTCATATTTATGTTAATATATATAACTTATGCAACATGACATCTCAGCCTTAAGCAACTGCATAATCAAATGAGTCCAACAAAGTTTCCTGCTCCCTCTAGGCAACCTATTATATCACACAAAATATATTCATTTAATTAATAACATTTTATAATTGTTTAGTTTTCAAACATTGAAGTGACTCGGGCATTTGAGATCATTTAATTTTACTTACATTTGTTTAACTTAACATAGTTATTATTTTTTCATAGCATAAATGTTATGCAAATCCCATTTGTAGCAATATATATATGATGATGAAATGCAACTGAGCATTTTTTAAAAATACTTTTATTTTAGGTTAAGGGGTAAATTTGTGGCTTTGTTGTACAGATTATTTTGTCACCCAGGTACTAAGCCTAGTACCAATAGTTTTTTTTCTGATCCTCTCTCTCCTCCCACCCTCCACCCTCAGGTAGGCCCCAGGGTGTGTTGTTCCCCTCTTCGTGTCCATGTGTTCTTATCATTTATCTCCCACTTAAAAGTGAGAACATGTGGTATTTGGTTTTCTGTTCCTGCATTAGTTTGCTAAGAATAACGGCCTCCAGTTCCATCCATGTTCCGAATGCAAATGACATGGATCTCATTCTTTTTTTTGTGGGAGTATAATATTCCATGCTGTATACGTACCACATTTTCTTTATCCAATCTACCATCGATGGGCATTTAGATTGATTCCATGTCTTTGCTATTGTGAATAGAGCTGCAAAGAACATACACATGCATGTATCTTTATGGTAGAATGATTTGTATTCCCTTGGGTATATACCCAGTAATGGAATTGCTTAAAACAGACATTAAATGGCTATCTAACCAAAAATATTATCAACTACCATGCCTGGCTCAGCACAGTTGTTATTAACAGAATAAAACAAAGAAATATTTTAAATGCAACAAAATGTCCTAAAATATTTTTAAAACAATGTAGAGATAGACAATTTGGAAATAATGAACGACTGACAGAAGTATAATATCAAAACTTGTGTTTGCTTTGCAATTTTTAAACAAAAGTTAAACATTTTTCCAACCTAAAGGAAGATATACAACATATGGAGGGACGTGTAGTCCAGAAAAGACAATGGGATAGTAAGTGAGCACCTGGCTAGCCCAAATGAATTCAGATCTAATCCCAGATGGAAAGCACTTGCAGGTAGAGAGAGAAAATTATTTTTGTTATCATTTTTGTCCTCATAACAATTCTCTGAGAAAGATAAAATATGAACTGTCTCCCCATGTCCAGCTCCTATAGTTAATCTCCACCTGTCCCTCAGTGCACTGCTCCCAGAACCACAGGACTCAGGGCTAGCAAGGGTCCTGCAGATCATTTTTATGAATTCTTCTGTTTCACAGACAATGAAACTCATCCTGGGAATAAATGGGTTGCTCAAGGACACTGCTTTATTTAAGTCAAAGTCACTGAAGAACCCAGATGTCCTGATATTAAATGAAGAACACTTTTAACTCCAATTTGGTGTTTACTTGTGAAAACTGATCATAATAAACCAAAGTATTTAATTTCTATTCCTCTATTTCTATAACAATTTGAGATAAGTGAAAACACTTGCTCATGAACTAAAGCCTGACAGATATTGTCCATATATAACGTTCTTCACAGGTAAACATTAAGATTAGATTAGCAATCAGGTAACATTAAAATTACAACCAATCAATTTGATGAGTTTAAGTGAAACATTTACTTGAAGAAATCACTATTGTCATTTTGCTTACCTAGAAAATTAACCAAACTTTACACAAAAATTATTAACAATGATATTAATTACTTGTCGTTTTTTATTGTTGCTACACACATTTAGCACTTTTAAGCAACATGAATGTATGATCTCACAGTTCTGCAGGTCTGAAGTTTATTGTTGACACAGTTGGTTCCTCTATTTTGGATTTCACAAGGCTGAAGTCATGATGTTGCTTTGCAGGGTTTTCCTCAAAAGGCTCTAGGGAAGAATCTGCTCCCTAGCTCATTCAGTTTGTTGATAAAAATCTAGTTCCTTATGGTTGCAGGATAGAGGTCCCCATCTTCTTGCTGGCTGGCAGCTAGAGGTCTTCCTTATCTCCTAAAGGAAACATGCTTGCAAGTGGGCCCTGCATCTCAGAGCTAGCATGTCAAATCATTTTCATTCTTGGAATTGCTCTGATTCTCTTTCTGTCGCATTTCTCTTCAGTCTTCTTCTTCTAGGTGGAGACTATTCTCTGATTTCAAGTGCTCATGGGATTTCATCAAGCCCACCCAAATAATTTGGGATAATTTTGCTACTTTAAGTTCCATGGTTTTATTATATCTGCAAAGTCTTTTTTGCTATGTAAGGTAACATATTCACAGATACTAGGAATTGGTACAAGGACATCTTTGGAGGGCCATTATTCTTGTTACTACAATTACCTGATTCCAGAAGGAAATATAATAGCCCTTACCAAAATGTTACTGTTGTGTAATATCTTATGTAATTGGAGCCTAAAGCCCAGTTTCCAGTCTCGCCTTATCCCACCTCTATTTCCTGCCTCTTCAGTTCTTACTTGTGATCTTTTACTACTATTACTGATTGGGTAGTCCACACACTTACACAAATACTACGGAAGCATGCTGTGACTCTTCTAAGACGTAAGTATGGATAAAATGGTGAACAATCAATCCAGTGTTAGGCAAACCTGGAACGCATTTGTCAAAAAGCCCCAGTAAGAACTGGCTATTAACACCTGGTCAGCATGATGGGAAGTCTCTAGTAAAGTGTCACAGGGCTTGGACTTTTTCTGTGCCGGTGCCATGAAGAGGGTGAAGACATTGTCCTCATATTTGCACATGATCTAATATTGGGCACAAAAATGATAGAACAATCCAGATTCAAGCTTATTTCACTAGGCTGGACTGATTGGACACCAAATTAATCAGGAATGAACATTATGTCACACATAATGCCACACTAATAACAAGATAGGATATGATTTGATAGGAAAACTTCTGAAAATCTTCAGAGAGTTTTAGTCTATGCCATGTTTTCACTTTTAAAAGACTATCTAAAATGGTTCTCGTGAAAATCTGCAATGGCTCCTCAGTAACCTATTTCTCTTTAAATAACTGAAACAGGGAAAGAGTATGTTACTTTATATTTCCAGAGTGTTGGAGGTAGTGGACTCAAAGCATTTGCTTTCCTAAGAGGTTTAATATGTGTCTTATAATAATTAGAGAGAATTGAGCAGAGAGCTGTTCTTCACACTCTCTCTAATTACCACTACTTGAAGCAAATTAGAATGAATCCAACTGTTTCTTACTTTGTCAAAGGCTATATTGAGGACAGGAATAATTAATTTTCAAATGGAATGGATTTCTAAAGCTTTTGTGTGGGTTGAATGCAAATTATATCTTAAAATATAATGTGCTATAACTCTGATATCAAAAATGCCATTTTCACTGCATTTTCAAGAAAGTCGAATAATTTTATTACTTTTATATCACCTTCTTTACTTCTATATACTAGAAATATAAATGATAAATGAATAATCAGTATGAAAACACGAAAAACTATTGTTAAAAAGATTCTTTTAGTTAATATTTCCCATAGCATGTATGACCCACTCAAAATAAATGTTTATTATACAAAGTTTTTTTATAAATAATGTATTAAGTGATTATTTACATATCTATAATATGTATATAATACATATACATATTGTAGGTAATAATATATAATCTAATATATTATATTATACATATTATAGATATATATTTGCTTCACAAAGTGAATCTTGAGAAAATATTGTAACATAATTAGCTTCTCCAATGAATGTACTGTATGATTTGGTTTAAATTTAATTTGTACCATTTTAAGGCAAGACACTAATTTTTAAGTAATATATATCTCTTGGGGCATACCGTCCAAATACAAAGATAACAAAATAATGCAAAATTTGTGATTATTTTTAAGAATGTATATTCATATTTAACTGCAGAAGCAATTAAAGATCATTCAAAAATTGGGATTTTTTTTTCTGGAAACGTGGTTGAGCTAAACTATTGATAAACTATGCTTCACTTACATTTGGTGAAGTCTCCTGTTTTTTCCTGTCAATGGCTATTTTAAAATACTGCTATTTCTTTAAGTCCCTAAGCACCCCACTTCCAACCTATGTATTTCTCCTTATTAGTTTTACCTGATACCTACACATTGAGCTCTAATAACAATGGTGTATGTGAGCATTCCAGGTTCCAGAAATGGATAACTCTCTCTATCTATTTTCATACCGGGCTCATTATCATTAATTGTAGAGATAAACACCAGTTTCTGGACATAAAAGACCACAATTTTAGACTTTGATAAACTCATCAAAATCACATTGTTCAGTCAATTCTCTATAAAACCAACTGAAGTTTTCTTGGAAATAACCTCAGTCTCACTGGATACATATGATCTTCAACCTAAAGTGACCAAACACATCCATTTAGCCTTATGCTTAAAATATTCCCACTGTGCCTGGCCCCTGTGGCTTCCAGTCCCTGAAGAATGTTTTTACTCCAATCTGTAATCCACCTCCTCGTCTCTCTTTATTTTCCACTGCTATCTAATCTCCCCAGAGCATCACCTCTACTTTTTTGTCATGGCCTTAGCATTCTCATCTCCTAGCTTTCATGAATTGTTAACAGCACTATAGTATTCTTATGTCCTTCTCTTATTTCTGTAGAGGAGCATTCTTTTTTCTACCAAAGACCCAACCATACTATTAATGTCACTCCTTTAATAGTATGGTTTCTGAAGTTCAGATCCATTTTGACTCCCAATTACCCTCTCTCTTATGTACTTTAAATTTTCCCCTCTTCCCCTTCATTCTGACTTCTTCCTAAGAATTTAACGTACTCAAGTCCATCTGACCTTAAAAGAAAAAGCAAATAAAATTAACCACATCAGCAACAGCTTGCTTATCTCTGGATACTGTGTTGAGTTTCCCATCCCTCGACAGCCAACCTTTCCCGGATGATAATTCTTCACTTCTCTACCTATTGGAATAAAAAAGGCATTACCACGACTTCAACAAAGCCACCTTTCCTTCTCTGAAGATATCTACACCTCACAATCATCAAATTTAAAGTCTGTTCTTAAGCCCTTAACATTATGGAAAATGTCAGAAAAAGCTAATACTGAAAAGGATGAAATACTTTTGAGTCAGACCACAGGGCCAAAACCCTGGCTGTGCCACTCATATGGATGCAACTTGAGCAAGTGACTTACATTTCTGAGCTTACTTTTCCCATCAGTAAAGTGCACATGAAAAAAGTGCCTCATAGTGTTGTTGTGGAGTTATGACATTCAAATAGTGGCACATAATCACCTAATGCTATTATTGAATTCCTTCTTCCTAATACATTTATTAAAATATGTATTGTACCATGTGTCAAACTGTTGCATGTATTACATGTGACTGGTGGGAGGAATGGTAGATGAAATATGTATATGGGCAAAAAAGAATGTGTTCCTTCTGCGTTCTCCTGACTGTCAGCCTACTGTCACCTATTTTCCGATTAAATGTTGAAATGCCTTGTGTTATAGGCCCATGCATCTTTTTCTCTTGCTTCTTATACAGCAGTTTGCTATTTCATTCAATAGCTTTCTATTGTGTGCTCATCGAGTACCAAGAATTTTACCATCTGCTAGAAATAGTGGTAAAAGAAAGACAAGATTCTTTACCTCACAGCTATCACATGCTAGTGTGAGGAGAGAGTAAATAAATAAGCAAACAAATAAAGGAAAATGATAATATCATATTATAAGTGCTATGAAGCAGATAAACCAACACGTTCTTATGCCACAGTGACTAGAGAAGGCTGGTCACTCTCTCAAAAAAGGTTGCACTGTGCTGACACTTTCATGGTAAGTAGTTGTTGACCAGGAGAAGAAAGGGAGGCAAAGCATTCCAGGTAAAGGAATCGCCAAATACAAAAGTCTTAATGGAGCTATGAACTTGGCATGTTGAGAAACAGAAAGCTGAAGAAGTTCGGATTTGTAGATAAAGAAGTAGGGGGAATGGTAGATGAAATATGTAACTCAGACTTGAATTCATTCTGAGTGTGTAATGAGAAGGTGAAGGAAGTTTTAGATCATGTAAATGTTTATGATTAGATATATTTTGACAACATTACACTTGCCTGCTAACTGAAGAATAGACTGTATAAGGGCAAGAGTAAGAGCTAGAAGTTCTGGAAGAAGGATATGACAATAATTCAGGAAAGAAGAGGTGTTCACTTGGAATTGAGAAGTAACAATGAAGATAGCGAAAAAATGAAGAGACAATCTATTTTTTAAATAGAGATGAAATGTTTTGCTAATAGCTTGGATATGGGAGATTAATAAATGGAAGGAATCAAAGACAAGTCTAGGGTTTGGAGTTTGAGCATCTGGGGAAATGCTATTGCTTGGAGGAATATATTAAAGTAGTGGTCATTACGAATTTTGTTTTGGCCATGTTAAATATACAGTGCATATGAGATGCCCAATTGGAAAATCACAGACAACAAGCATGTGAATTTGGAAATCAGTGGAGTTATCAAGATGGAAGTACACATTTGAGAATCATCAGCTTAAAAACCTGTGTGACAGATAGGATCAAAGATTGAAAAGCATGGTACTGAGTCCTAGGGCACTTCATCATTTATCAGAGCCAGCCAAGAAGACAGGGCTCTTAACAACAATGCTGTAAGAAGGCAATTCAGTCCAGATGCCTCTTCTGAAGTTCAGATCCATTTTGACCTCAATCTATCTAAAAGTAAATACATGTTCCTCTGAACCAAACCAGAGAGTCATCCTTAATAATGTCCTCTCCCTGACAATTCACATTCAATCTATTTCCTAGTCCAATCAATTCTACCTCCCGAATATCTATTGAATATAGTGTCTCTGTCTCTGTCTCATTTCAATGATTCAGTTTTGGTGTCTACCCTCTTAATGCATCATATGCATCAATCTTCTAAGTGATTATTGTCTCCAGTCTGCTGGTTTCAGTCCATCCTTCCTCTGTTCTTAAGGGTATTTCAAAGTGTAAAATTTATTTTTATCATTCCCTTCTTAAAAGACTTTGATGAACCTATTGCCTTTAAGATTTCAAATTTCAAACTCTCTTGCATAGTTTTATGATCCTATGTAATTTGAATAATGTCTCTCTTCTTTATTTGTCAAATAAATTAATAAAAATTAATAAATGAGTGAATAAATAAGTTAATATGTTTTGAGGCTTCTTTATGATATATTTTTCTCAGTATAAAATAGATTGTTGAAAAAGATGTAAAACAATAAAGACATTTTAAAAGAAAAAGCCAAAGATGAAAAATAGAGTTTTTATTTTTAGTTTGTTTCACATTCATTGAAAATGACTAAGCATGGAGTTTATGATGGTATGAAATAAAACAAATGGTAGTTGAAGCCTGAAGTACTTATTTAAGATAACAGAGAAAAGATCCCAGGGAAAGGCAGTTGAGCTTACAGTGACAGACTCACCATTTGAGGATCAGTTAGAAGGAAGCCAAAAAAAGAGCCTTATTAGACACATGCCATCAGTCTTTAACAAGTCACATCTTAGTCCAGTCAATTTAAATAATCTGTTTAATTAAGTCCATTATAAAATTATAATAATGTAGATAATATAAAGCTAAAATTATTCTGAAAATAGTATACTCTTAAAGGCATAAATATTAATAAAGTTTTTGTAGCCATTTTAATAAATACTTGACATTGTTTGAAAACATGCAATAAGAATAATGAATTTGAAATATTATACATTTATAACAGTGCAAATAAAATACTTATTTTTTTACTTAATATTTTTTGAACTTTGAATATATGGAACATATCACATCTAGATATATTATTTCCATAGGCTCTTCATTTTGACTACATAATCCAATATATAACTAGATGTTCTGGGGAGCTATTCTTAAATATGTCATATCAATCTCTAAGGTTTTTGTAAGTTTTTACAGGATTCCCAAGGATTTTCAAGGATTCCTTAAACAAGGAGGCCATTCAATATCTATCACAAAACGTCTGGAGGAAGGTCATTTCAAGTTTAATTAATTCACTCCAAACTCTACAGCTTTTTTTTCACTGATAAAGTTGGCAATGGCTTCACTCATGACCTCAAAATGCCTGCATTTTCAGACATCATGTCTTCATACAGCAGTACTTCAGGTGGGAATGAACGGCATGAGAGAAAGTTCTCCCTATGTGACTCATATTCACTGAAGCAGACAAATTTTCACAGAAACAGATTATTTCTTATATCCTATTTGCCTGAAGAGAAACTACAGGCTCATAAGTATTTCCATCATTAAAAAAAAGAAAATGAATTAGTCCAATTAACTTAGACTGATTATGATTTATCCTTTGGGATGGGCCACATTACCATCCAAACAAAATTAGGATTCTGAGAGCAAGAATGGAGAAATAACTATTGTACCCACAACCAAAATGTTTTCCATAGTCAAAAACATCTTAAAACAAAACCATGGAGATTATTAAAACTGATATTGGTTATAGGTGTAGGTATTGTGAGAAATGCTCCTGAGTTTTAAAATAAAAAGGAAACAAAATACTCTATTTTTCTTCTTGTATTATTGCAGCACTTCTCAACCTTTCTTCAATGCACTTACATCTTCATGATGAATTTTACCACTATGAAATGTCACTCATTATCTCTGGTAATACACTTTCTCTTGAAATCTGTTTTATCTGATATCAATATAGCTACTCCAGGTGTCTTAAGATTGGGCTCCATGATATATATATATATTTTCCATTCTTTTAATATGTGGGTGCCTTTGTGTTTAAAGTACTTCTCTTGTAACAGCTTATGGAAGGATTGACTTCTTTTATCTAGCCTGTAGTCTTTGCCTTTTAATTAAAGTATGTAGCCTATTTATATTGTATGTAATTGTTGACATGATTGGGTTGAAGTTTATCATCTTGCTATTTGTTCTCTTTTTATCTCATCTTTTTATTTACTTGTTCCTCCTTCTCTGCCTCCTTTTGGGTGCGTCGAATATGTGTTGGTGTTTCATTTGACCACTTCTGTTGGAAATGTGTTATAGGGTTTCTCTAGGAATAATAATATGCAAGCTTAACTTGTGACACAATACTCTAAACTGATGTCATACCACTTCATGTATAATATGAGAACATTACAACATTATACTTCCATTTATTCCTTTTTCCATTTCCTATTATTGTCATATTTTCTATATGTATTATAATACTACAATACTACATTTTGTGAAAAAGTTTATTATTTTGAAGGCATTAATAAAAGAAAGAAAATTGGTTTCATATATGTCCACATATTTGCCATTTTTTTGTGATTTTTATTTTTATTTTTTTTTTGATAGGTATGAGTTTTCACCTAGCATAATTTTTCTTCGGTCCAGAGACCTTCATTTAACATTTTATTACCAGTAGTGCAGATTTGCTGGTAACAAATTCTAAAAATGTTTTTATTTTCCCTTTATTTTTGAAAGATATTTTTATAGATATAGAATTCTAATTGAAAATTGTTTTCTTTTAGCACTTAACAAATATTATACCACTGTCTTCTGACATGCACTGTTTTCAAAGAGAAGCCAATTGATTTGTCATTGTTTCTTTGTATGAAATGATTTTTTCCCTCTAGCTGCCTCAAGAGCTTTTCTTTACTTTTGTTTTCCAATAATTTGACTTTGATGTAGTTTAGTTTGGTTTTTTTTTTTTTTAATCCTGCTTGGGCAGATATTCAGCATATTTTCCATCATATTAGGAAACATTTTGGCTAGCATTGCTTCACATAAGTTTTGTTTCTCAACTTCTTTTTCCTCTCCTTCTAAGACTATAATGGTAGACCACTTGACATTAATCCACATGGTACTGAAGTTTTCTTTTTAAAATACGTCTCCATTTCAGTTGGATAGTTTCTATTGGTCAGTCTTTAAGTTCCCGGATCTTTTCTTCTGCAATATTAGGCCTATCTAGTGACTTTATAAAATCATATGTTGTTGTTTTGTAGTTTTAGAATTTCCATTTAGGTGTTTTTCTATTAGTTCTATATCACAAATGAAATCTCCCAGTTTTTTCTTCACCTATGGTAGCCATCTTTCCCATTAAATTATGACAATATTTATAATGTTATTTTCACATTCTTATCATTTCTGAGTTAATTTCTAACAACTGTATCTTTCTTCATGTTATACATTTTACTTTCTTGTTTTTGTATATGTTTGTAACTTCTTATGGTAAATTGAAGTTGTGGGTACTACTCTGCTGAGAATCCATTTTTTTTTCCATTAGAAAGTGTTGAGATTTGTTCTGGCAGTGAGTGAATTTACTAATGACTTTTACTGATGTTTATTTCAAATACAAAAAAAGTCACACATATATTATTCAATCACATAGACAAATCAAGATTGAGGAATAATTCTGTCAAAGTGCTCCAAAAAAGTATGGTATTTGATTTTTATTTATACTAAAATGATTGTCTTTACTGTTTATATGTAAATTGGATTTTATCCACTGAAAAGAAAGTATTTTTGCTTCTTTTAAAAAATAAAATTATACTAGAAAAAATTATCTTTGTACATAAGTTATTTAACTATAAAGCGAATTATGATTTAACTTGTTAGAAATGTACTCAAACTACAAATCTTTTTATAAAATTAAAACATATAACTAAGAAAAAAACAAGGCTTGGTTTTAAGCTTTGTAGGTCAAATCTATGATAGCGTTTACCCTGAGACTAAGGTAGCTCTAGTCTTAAGATACTTCCTGGGTCTCATTTGAATATATGAAATATTCCGCCATGATCTCTTCATTCTGGCTGGCCAGAAATCCCATATATTCCAGTGCTACTGGACTTCTGAGATGCCTGTTCATCTCACAGCCTTCTGCAGGGTTAGGGTTTTCTTCTGCTAGTACTCATGGAATCCCATCATGGGCACATACAGCTTATTATTTGGCTGACACTTAAGGCAACTTTTTTTTACAGGATCCTGGCCCCCCCTCTTTTTTTTTTTTCCAACGCTAACTCATCTTTGGTACCCTACCCCATAAATCCCATAAATCCTGGACCTCAGCAACCCCGGCCTCTGATCTTTGCTTCCTCTTCCCAGAAAATCTGCTGCTCTCTGTTTGGTCTCCACTTCCCTGCGTCAAGGTTGGAAAGGTGCTCCAGGCAATAAGCTAGGGTGTCTGTGGAGATCAACTCATATTCTCCCTCTCTCAAGGATCCAGGCCCTGTGTTGTCAGTTTACTCATGCTCAAAATGAATTGCTTCATGTATATCATGAAGTATTACAGCTGCTTACTGTAGAAGGGTAAATATAATACCTTTAGTTGGTAATAGCCAGTCTACAGTTTTCTGAGGCTCTCATAAATAATGTAAATCCTTTGTTTCACTTTTAGCAGTTTGTCCCAGACCTATCACCCCAATTTAGTGCAAGAAAATTCTACTTTTTATTGTACTCTAGCCATTCATATCTAACTTACTTTTATTTTAAAATAACAAACTTAAAATCAAAAAGATTTATAGGATCTACACTTAAAATTTCTTTGGGGAATTATCTTCCCAAGAAAGAAGCCACATGAAATAAATGCAAGACATAGATTCCTGCCATTGTCTTTAGTTTTATCATTTTAAATACTGTAACTCCACCAGGATTTGAGACTCCCCACTGAAAAATGTACTAAGTTAAAATTAATGCATTTATTTACTGGGGAGCTGTGAATTTTGTTCAGCTATAATCCCTATGGTCATTACATCTCAAGGTGCCCTCTTTTGCCTCATTCACATTCTGAAACCTCTCCTGTTCCATAGAGACAGAGTTCAGCTCAGCCCTCTGCAGTTGGTGTTCAACAGCAAACAGTGAGTACAATGAACTGCTAACTTATAATTATTCTAAAAGAATACCATTTGCCACTGAGGTAATGGGAGAGAACAATGACATTCAGGAACTTATATAATACATTACTCCTTACTTTAACCTACAATTCTAGTTCGACTGCCTTTGGTTACATATTTATTTGTGGTTATAATGTAGTTACCCAGCATGATTGACAAGGAGAAAAGAGGAGGGAAATTGGTAGAAAAAAAGTAGCCATTATAAAATAGTCCTAAGACCAGTTATTCTGTTACCTTCATATTTCTTTTTTATCACCCAATGGTGCAACACATATTTCTTTTGTTTTTGTACCTATAATTCATCTTTCAGCAGGTGACTGGATGGGTGAAAGTGGCTTCGATTTATTTCTTCCCTGCTTGCCATATCACTAAGTATTTATTTGACTACTTGTTAAAGTTCTCAGTTATACTTTCAAAAACTTTAACAGAAATTCTGACTGAAAGAAAACAGCTGGAAAGATATTAGAAAATACAGTTTAAAGGAAATATTTTCAATTAAATGATTGCTCTCCATGGTAGGGGACTAGGAATTTAAACCATGAGAACATGACAGATAACAGGTTAATTACTATTAGTCCCATATTTCAAAATATCAACTAAATAAATAATAGATTTATTTAAGCATCATAGGTAGTTATGTATACATTTAATATTTATTAGATAGTCATAATATGATGCATAAAAAATAAACATTCTCAGTTATTAAGTTTTTTCACTACATTTTCTTCATATTGTAAACATATTACATCTTAACTTCATTCTAGCCTATGTTCTTTTTATGCCAACCAATCATACTAACCTTTTTAATTCCTTGAGTACATGCCACAAATCACAATCTCTCTCTTTTTTTAATTTTTCTTTGCTTAGAAATCTTTCCCCATATTTCACATAGCAATTGCCTACTCATTGCCAAGTATCAGTCTAAAAAACAGATTTTGTTCACAGAATCCTTTCTTGGCATCTCTACCAAGAACAGGTCTATTTTTAGTTGCTATATACTCACATAGGATCATATACTGGGTTTCCTATATTTCTGCAACGTTCATCTTTTTATATATACTGAAAATTCTTTGAGGCAGAAGCTAGATTTATTTTATTTGCTGCCATCTACCCTGTACCCGGTATCCAACACATTGCATTAAATGTAGTAGGCTCTCAATAAAAATAGAATACCTGGGGAACAAATAAATGAATTTTAGGATTTCCTTAAAATAATAATTTTAAAATATTGACTCCAACCTTTATGCACGTGCACACACACACACACACACACTCGTGTGCACTGAAAGTCCTTTACTGTGGAGCGCTGGAAGCTCTAGGATACACTGTAGTGAGCCAGAAGTTATTGACTTGCTTATGTGTAATTGGCCAACAGTAATATTTAGTATACAAAATAGACATCGGCACAAGACCATGTAACTGACTAAAATATAATAAATTTATGTAATCACCTGGATCCTGGTTCATATAATACTAGAAACAAATAAACTCTTCCCCCACCGCCCATGCGTTTACTTAATTTATTGATTGGATTACTCAGAAAATTCAGTAAGAGTTGTTACACCCATTGCAAGTATATATTTAATTAAAACTAAATGGAAGAGACTGACCTCAACAGTCATAGAAGATTTTCATTGTAATGTAATGAGCTTTTTAACATTCTTATACTAATTTACATCTTTAATTTATGTTAGTAAAATTCTGACATTATTACAGGCATTACTCCTGGAACATGTTTCCTAGTAAGTATAAATATCACACTGGGAATTTTTCAGGAACCAGGCCTTGGTCAACATTTCCATGCTACCACATGTAGGGTGTTATAAGAGCTAACAGATGTTTAAAAATAATCCTTAGTAATAACATTTAAAATGGATCTTGATTCACATTTTGATTATCATACTAGATTTGTGGGGATTTTGCCATTATTTTCACCAATGTTAATTGTTCCATATTTGCACTTTAAGTCTTACTTTCACTGAGGTAATGAAGATCTGAGAAGCATACTCCGAGCTTGGTTTAATCACAGTAGAACTGCAGGAATCTCAAGGCTGTCTGTTCCTATTGTAACATCTTGAATTTCCCCTCAATTTCCTTCTCTAAGACTGTGCTCTAAGACAAATGCTTATTTTTTCTTAAGTATAATAAATTAATACTTTTCATTTAAAAAGTATTTTCACTTATTGCTTATTCACTAAGAGTGAAATCAGAAATCATGCAGATTAAATATCTCCTGGATACAGCTGAGAAATATTTACAGATATTTAGGGAAAAATGGGTCAATCAAGCATTATATTTTTCACGTGATGGATGAAAAGAAAATACATTCATTTTCTCTTGAAACAGAACATATTAAACAATAGCTGTATGTATAAAATGAAACCCCCTGTGTGAATATTTTCTCTTGTACCAAAGAAATAATTAAAGATGTCTTTTTAATTAAAATTAAATAAATCCAAATGCTCCGAAGCAAAAATATTTATATTTAATTATTCTAACTCATTCACAGTATGTTGCAAGGTCCAGGCATCTCAAACTTTTTTATTGTACTGAATCTTGTAACATAGCTGCAAGTTTCTTCTAATGTTTAAGTAGATCAAATAAGGTAACATTGTCCAAATGATCTAGTTTAGTGAATGCGATCCAAACACATCAACCTGTTTTGTATTATTAATATAATCTGCCTTCCTATCTTCATTAAGAAGAAAAAAATTTCCCAATGTAATATTTTGCCCAATAGCTTAGTTCAAAACGTTTTAACTATGCAAATGGAAAAATTGGAAACTCAAGTACTGGTGATTCTTCTTACATTAACTTTCAAGTAGCCAATGTACTTACTATATTTAGTAAAATCAAGGTTTAATTGTTTACATTTGCCCAATTAAAATAACCTTTATACAAAGATATACTGTCAATGGTAGGTGCATTAATTACAAATGCTGAGCATCACAAAACAGCATGATCTTTCATTTAAAAATCACAGCTCTTTGCCCAGTTAAGCAGCAGGGAAATTTTATGGTTCAGGGACTTAAGCAGTGAAGCAGAAGCTCCAAGGTTTTAAAAACAAAAAAAAATCTCATCTTATCTGAAGAATGATCTTAGATAAGTCATCTAATACTAGTTAATTCCTCAAGTTTTATTACTGGAACATATTAGAAAATGGGAAAACTTGTTTAGCTGTAGATTGTGCAGAAGAATCAGATGTTAAATCTAGCCATTACTATTCAAAATGAATTCTGAGACTACATGCAAAATGAAACAACCATGTTATCTTCATCAGTACTAGAAAAAAATCACTATTTTGTCTTTAAAGAACAACAGTACCTTTTTCATTGAAATAATTTTAGCTACAAATTATTATTTTACTCATCTACATTGGCCTAATTTTATTGATTCAAAACATTTTAAATAGTTACAGATAATATCTCTAATAATTAAAATATGCCATGAATTAGAGGAAAAGTATACAAACAGTATGATGAAATGAGGAAAGTACAGTATTTGTAGAGGTAAGATCTTGCTTCAAACCCAGCCCTACTACTGGTTTGATAATTGAACATGGGCAGCTGATTAAACATCTTGATTTTGTTTTTACAGGGATGATTTGCAAAATAATCTGACTCTCTTACATCTCATGACTGAAAGAGTTCAATGAGAAAATATTCATAAATGGCAAACCACGTTTGAAACTTATATTGCCATCATTATCACCCTCTATCATTACCTATAAATAATAATTAAAGGAAACACGGGTCCAGTTATGCCTAAACCAAAGATCAATCTAACTCTGGAAATTGCTTTTGTTACAGCCAATTATGAAATGTGCATAAGTGATTGTCTCACCCATGCTGGACAGAGGTAGTTTGAGAAGTGAGTATGTAAGGAGGGGAATAGGACAGAGATAGAAAGGTTATTAATATTTTAAAATCTGTGATTAACATAGCATAGAAAAAGGACCTGTCCTTAGCTGTTGGTGGCTCAAAGCATCCATGTGTTTGTGTGTGATTCTCTCTGAAAAGATGTCATTTCATTTTAGAAACATTAGAATCATTAGTGCAGTGTGGATCTCAAAGTGTTCAGAGCACCCTTTTGGTTTTTGTAATGGTTTCTATACAAGACACCTCTTGTTACCAGAACAAATTTGCCATAGACATAGGAATAATACCAGAAAAAAAGTTTATTTTTTTAGTCAAATGGATTCTTAAGAGAAAATTTACCAACATGTAAATAAGTGTTTTCTGAATATTTGGTTTTTTGAGTCAAATTGATTCTTAAGAGAACATTTACCAACATGTGAATAAACATTTTCTAAATTAGACTAAACTACTATGGCAAAGCAAAAATTAATACAGTTTCACCTTAATTCTATTGCATTTCAAAATAAATATTCCTAATTAGAGTGAAAGGGTGTAATTCAGTCATCCAGCACCTGCTTTCATTCCCCAGCACAATGTAGAGACCGTTGCAAGGGTTCACCCCAACATATTCAGCCAGGCATTAATTGAAATTCAATTTTTGATTTTTTTCTGTATATTTAAGTAATGCAGATTTATGGGTCTTATTTATTGATACAAATTTAAAATTCACTTCATGGATTTTTTTCCACAAAATTATATCCTAATATTTGTGTCAAATCTCCATATTCTAAACACCTCTCTGAACTTTTTTTAGCTGTTTATAGTGTTACATTTTTTGACCATGAACACTTTCATACTTGTATTATAGATAATATATGCTAGTACATTATATATCCACCAGCAGATTTAATGTTTTTGAAAACAAGTCACTGTATCTGTGTAGCTTCTACAACACTAGGCAACATGTCAGAGATTTTGCACATGGCAGATAGTCAATAAATGTTTTTTAAAAGAGTAAATGGATGGAAGGATAAAACCAGCCACTTAATAATTATTTTTAGATGTAAGGGCATTTCTAAAAGGATTTTAGGGACTCATCAAAATGAGCGTTGTTTGTGTGTATGCTTTTATGCATGAAAAAATCGAACACTTGTTTTGAAAAAAAACAGAATTTCTTGCATAAATATATGTTATTTGTGAAATAAATATTAAACAACATGTTTACAGACAGGTTTAAAGTCAATTCATAGAAATAGTTAAACGTTACTATTAACAATGATACCTTTTTATGAAAGAAAATGTCCTTTATGGTAATACAAATTAGACAAGTTGTTTTTTCCAGATCTAATATGCACCTATTTTATATTATTTTTAATTTTTGTTGTCCTTCTTATATATGAGAAAAACAAAGTTTAAACCTTCTATATAGAAGAATTCAACTATCTACATTCAAAAAAGAGAAATAAAAGGAAGAAAAATACTTTAAAAAGAAAGAAAGAATGAAAGATTGAAGGAAGGAAGGAAAGAAGGAGGGAAAAGAGGGAGGGAGAAGGGGGGGAAAGAAGGAAAGGAAAGGAAAGGAAAAAGGAAAATGATAGATGTAGATAGATAATGTAGATAGCTAACCAGATAGGTAGATAGATGAGTTAGAGAGAGAGACACAGAGACAGAGAGATTGAGAGAGAGAAGACAAATAGAAAGAGAAAAAAGAAAATACATCAAGGAGGAGTAGTGGCAACATGCCCTAATTCTGACTCCCCATTAGAAAACAAGAAACTCTCCCACAAACAAAGTAATTCTCAATCTTGATTTATCTGCATTTTAGTGGAAAAAGATTTCAGTTTTACCAGTGTCTTTCACAGACTGGGTATGACCCAATTCTGCTATTCAGAAATAGTCCTCAGAATTTAATATTGCCATCTATTGCATTCATAGTCTGTATATGTAAAAACAAAGGAGAAAATAATTCTGCAAAGGAAAATGCTGTATTTAATTAATGCCCAAGGGAAGCTATGAAAAAGAAAAAAATTGTAGTTGTCACGTCCTAATTTTAACCACTGTTTACCAGATTTATTTACATGTACTGCTCTAGCCGCCCACTCAGTAGTTTGATGAGAGCGGAGCAGTTCCATGCAGAACAGATCCTTTGCTTCCAGAATTCAGAGTGAGTAATAGGATAAAAAAGACATCTGAAGAAGCTGCATCTTAATACAGCTAAATTCTATGGCTTATGGCAGACCCTTGGTTATGAACACCTGCTCATACACAAGCAGATGTAAAAGATACCATGTGCTTGCATTGCCATATCAACTATTTATATTCTTGCAAGGTAGTGGAACATTTGGTTAATATAATATAGCCTATACAGGCCTTCTCAGAATTTTTTTGTCAAATCCATCTTAATGGAACAGTTTATACATTTATTTTTCTACTCTAAGGAGACAACATTTCTAGAAAAAAAATTGAAAAATCAGGTAATTTCTCTTTCAATCTTACTACATGGCTGAAAGAGGCAAGTCTTGTTTCTGACCCAGATTGAATAAATATAAACTTCTACTCACTGGAGGCAGAGATCCCTAACATTGAACCACACCAATGCATCAATATGCCCATATAAAAAAAAGAGAAAAGAATTACCATGGAAATTCCTGGGCTGGATGCCTTACGTAAATGTTATCTCATTTGATACTCACAGTAATTAAATGGGGTAAAATTTTATTCCTAATTTGTCCATGAAAATGTTTAAAGAATCAGCTTGCCAACCAGAATCCCAAATCAAGCCTCCCTACTCTAAGCCTGTGTTGCTTCTATGCATAGTGTGTCCCATAAGGTACAATGAAACTGTTAATTTATTACTGCTTATATCCCAAGTCCACCAGCCAGTCCACAATTATACAAATTGTGGTTCTATATTTTCATGACATACTTCTTCCTCCAGATCACTGTCTGATGCAATCCCTAACCTTTGGCTTGTACTCTGCAATGTCGCCAGCTCTTCCCAGTATTTTACCATATTGCAGATAAGGTGTGGGTGTATGGAAAAGAAAAACAGATGTACTAGATTGGACGCTGTCCCTTCAAAATTCATGATCATCCTGAAATCTCAGAAGTCTCAGAGTGTGACATGATCCAATATAACCGTGTCCTAATCAGGAAAGCAGAAGAGGCATAGAGTCAAGCTGACTCTATGAAGAAGACAGAGGTAGAGGTTGGAATGATGCCTCTACAAGCCAAGGAATATCAAGGATTGCTGTCAACCACCAGAAGCCAGGAAGAGACAAGGAAAAATTCTCCCCCAGAGCCTGTCCCTGCCAGCACCTTTCTTTCAAACTTCTAGACTCCAAAACTGTCAGTCAATACATTTCTACTGTTTTAAGCCTTTTGCTGTTTGTGGTCATTTGTTAGGGCAATCCTAGGAAACTAATACACTGGGTAACTGGTTTTACAGACTCAGATACTTACTCCAAATGTTTTTGTTTAATCTACCCTGTTCTCTCTTTATGCTTATCCAAGAATAACAATTTTTCTGCTATTTCATGGAGTCCTTGCTATGGTTTGAATATGCCCCCTCCAAAATTCATATTGGAGCCTAATCTCTATTGTGGTGGTATTAAGTGGTGGGGCCTTTTGACGAGTGATTAAGTCCTGAGGGCTCTACCCTTATAAATGGATTAGCACACACAAAGGGGCTGGAGTAAACTACCTTTGGCCCTTTCTGCTCTTTCTTTTACCATGTCATGACACAGCATTTATCCCCTTTTACCCGTTCTGCCTCTTCCATAATGTAGGGGCGAGACAGTTCCTTCTATGAGGAACAGGCCTTCCCCACTTCCTGCCACTTCCTTCATCTAGAACTCCCAAGCCTCCAGACTGTGAAAAATAAATTTCTGTTCTTTATAAATTACCGGGTCTGGAGTATTTTCCTATAGTAGCACAAGCAGACTAAGACAGTCTTTCTCTGTTCTATTCCAAGTTCAAATACTTTCTCCTGGATGCTTGAATTTCAAGCACCTTTCATCTTGTCTGCTGTTTGCCTTGTTTTCCCTCAAACCTCTTGAAGACATTGATCCATAGATTTTTTAAATAAAATTTCAAATAATTTTCCATAGTCAGAAGAGTTGGAAGAGAGGTGATGAGCTAAAGATTCCTTTGAAAGTGTGAACTCACTCTTTCACTATTCCAGTAGAAAGAGGGATGTGGCTTCAGCCCTGCCTGGCATATCTCTCACCAAGAGCCATCAAATGAGGGATTTAAACTGGATGATCTCTCAGGGCTAATCATTCTGATCTTAATTCTTCTTTCAGGACAGGCCACACTTGGCATAGAGAGGGCCTTCCTTCATGAAATTTTATACCACAATGGCTGAAATATTCATAATTTGCAATACCAGACCTAATAGTAGGTGTTAAAACTGGACAATAAAACAAAGAGTTGGCAGTCAATTATTTAGGTATTGAACACCCTGCCCTTTTTGCCCTTTCCATGAAAACAAACAAGGAAAAGATGAACAAGAGCCACCTGCTGTCTTCTGAAGCTTCTTGTCAGGTCGGCTGGCATCATGGGACTTCGCCAGCATGTTTTGCAGCAGCACAAGGACCCTGCTGAGGTGCCGTCTGCACTCTGAGACCTGGAATCTTGACTGGAATTACCTGCCAATGCCAAAGTCAGAGACAGTACAAGTCTCACGGTTATAGTGACAATATTTTTTACACAAAAATCAGGACACAGTGTCTGACAGGTGCAGCTATACATATGGGAACAATGAAACAGGGCATCTAAATTCAGAACTGTCCTAAAAAATCTGACATATACCTCAGCCTAAAGTTATCTGATCTGCTGGCTGCCATAACAATTATGAGGGAAAAATAAAATTGGAGTTCTTTAGTCTAAGAACCAAAAAACCAATTGGTGATTAAAACAACTTTACATTAACTATTTTAACATTGATCCCAGAATGCTGAAAAACTTTCATAAGATATTATCATATAATATATATTCTATAATTGTATTTTATATAGATCTTTAATTAGACTATAAAAATAATATTTTTTAAATGAAAGTTAAAACAATGTTGAAGAGCTGTATATATGCTCATATCAGTAACTTTTTCATATGCTTTTAGTATTCAAGTCAGACTCATGAAGGTGATAATACTAATGATGCTGGTCGCTATTAACAATTGAGTGCATTCTATGTGCCAGGCATTGTTAGGCAAGGTAATATACACATGAAGCCTTCTACATGCATTGTCTCATCTAATTCTCACAACAATACGTAATGTATGCTTTTACTCCACTTTACAAATGAGAACATCTAAGCCCAAAGTCACATAGCTAGAAAAACTGCAGAGCAGGACTTAAACCCAGTTCTATCTAAATACAAAGAATGTGCCCTTTAACACAATGGTAAATAAGAAATAAAGTTCACTAGAATATCACTTAAATGAAACTGTTGGCCTTTCTCTCCTGGACAGATAATGTAAACACAGCAGTCATGACCAATTTCACTCCCACCTTAAGAAGAACCATCAGAAAGTAGGTAAGTGATAAAGGGAATAACCAAGTCAACTCTGAATCTGCTGTAGTTAATGAGGGAATAAATGATTTATCTAACTCATTGGTTAAAAGATTATCTGAAACAAAAGGATAAAAGCATTACTATGAAACTTAAAACATATGTAAAATAGTTGGACATTATTTTTTATGAAAGACAAAGAATAAAACAGATATGGATCATGAATATTTTCATTTTTAGTGATAAGGATTGTATTTAAATGTAGTAAAATATACATAAAATGGAAACATTTTACAATTTAGAGATATACTATGGATTGGCACATGTATGTACATTGGGGGTTTTTATTTTACCAACAAGAAACTGACTATGAAAAGGGATTAATCAATTTTGTTTTTGTTTTTGTGATAATCTATTCTACTTTATTTATCATACTCTAAAATATATGTAATTATATTAGTAACCATATATGTTGCTTTTTGACAAAGGACAATTTGACTGATTAAAAACCAGGCTGCTGCACTTAAATATGTAGCAGTTACCATGGAAACAATTTTACTTTGACTCAGAGCATATCTTGTTTTAAAGAGAGCAGCCTGTTGTTATGGCAATGGGAACTTGAGCATTTTTCCGAAAAGAAGACTAACGCAGGATAGATAATAGTGTTGCCAGTTATGAAGCATATATAAATACAATTGTGCCCACCTTTGATAGCTTAGAGAAATCATAGCTGGTAAAGACAATAGGTACCACTCTAGACTTGTTAGGAAAAGCCCATGCCCTATGTCCCTTCCTTGTTTTATTTTTAACGATAATGAATAATAATAATGTAGACTTATGCTTAAAATTTTACGCACTGAAGGCATGAATTCAAAATGCTATTCCTATAGCAACCATATATGATGTTTTATTAAAAGTTAACATGAAGTACATTTGAGATACTCAAAGAATCATTTATCACTTATTTCATGAGATGATGGTGATGATGATGATGATGATGACCATAGTAAAAATTTACAGAATGCTTATATATGTCAAGCACTGTTCTAAGACATTTTGTTATATTACCACATTAAGATTCTCATACTACTTCTAAGAAGAGGGCATTATTAATATCTTAATTTTACAGAAAAGAAAACTGAAGCACAGAGAGGTTAATTTATTCACCCAAAGCCACACAGCAAAGAAGGGCCAGAGCCAGGAACCAAATCTGAGAAATCTATGCTCCTATTCCCTAATTCCTGCATTTTCAATTGCTTAATATTTTTAGGTTTATCTTATATTAATATTGAACCTCAATCATAACTTAAAATACTAAATTATACTCAGTCTCTAAGTTTTACAAAAACTAAATATAAATTTCATGCAGGAACTGACAACATACACCTTAATTTAACCGAACCAAATAAAAATAAAGTGACTTTTCTCAAGAATAACCCTATAATGTTAGTATATTTAATTTGGTGTTCATTAATATTTACATAATTTGGGGTCATTTCTGTAAATATTAAAGCTGGATTTGGAGTGAAGAGAGTAAGATTCCTTGAGGGATTAATTGAATATATTTGTAAGTCTGAAATATATATGCAAGTACAAAATTGCAACTAAAGGATTTACTGCAATTGGACTCTAATTAGAATTGCAAAATATTTTATTTCAGGGGCTTATGCCTTTTCTCATCAGAAATTTTCAGCCTTTTAAACCCAAACTATTAGTCTTAGTTGTTTATATGTTGCAGATGAATCATGAATTCATCTCATTTTGGTCTGCAAGGTATTGATTACATAAGTATTTCAACAACACAAAATGTTCATTCCATTTTGTGTTATTGAAAAAACTTATGTTGTTGAAAGAGAAATTATTTCTTCTACTACTTTGTTTCCATGTAGGCAGGTGAATTTTTGATAAATAAGTAGTTTCTAAAAAAGACAGTGGTTGACCTGACAAAGGTTATGAATACACAGAAAACTGCAATAAATAGTCTAAATGCAGTCATATTAAAAATACTCCCTTTTAAATCAGAAATAGAACGAGAATGGTACTACTGTCACTCCTGCAACATTGCACTAGAGACCCTAGGCAGTGAGCTAAGACAAGCAAGAGAGTGGTTAACAGAGAGTTAGCAATTGTTCTTTTTACATAAACATTCAAAACACTTAATAGTTCATATTAAGATGTTCTTAAATAAAGAGCACTGCAAACAGTAATTTGGTTACATAGCCACGTAGTTTACTAAAAAGGCATTGCTTTCCCTCCTAGCTTTTCCCATGCCAGTGCCTTGGCTAACTCACCAGTGCTCATGTCACAAGCAGGTGTGCACACTTCTGCCTCGATCAGGGCCAGAATTTTCCACCCTCATCCTGCAACTGAACTTGCACCTCAATATGAATGTTCACACAATTCTTGTTCTCTATTTTTACTCTATTTTTTAGACTCACATTCACATATGACCAGATCTGATTCACTGATACAATATATGCAGCTTTAACCCGGGTGCTTCAAATTACGAGAGGGAAACCGGAGTTTACTTCTAAGCATGTCTCATGTTCATGGAGACTTTATCATAATTAGGGAGTTGGTAACAAGAACCTGGACCTCAGGGACACGGCAAAACTGGAGACATAAATAGATAGGAATTATTCACAAATTTATACATGGGCATGTGTGTTAACACTATAGTGAGTATGCATAAGGTTGCAATGTCTAATGTAACTCTAGTGATGACTGCCATTTACTGATCATCTATTAGCACATATATTCCTACATCTGGAAACCAGTTTTCCAGGTAGAGACTATCCCCATCGAATAAATAATAACTGAGGTCAAGGGAGAAAAGATAACCTGCCCAAAGCAACACAATTTGTCAATTAGTAATGGAACTGAGATATGAATATAGGTCTCATCAAAAAACCCTATTAATTACCCTACAGTAAAACTCTTCTCAAAAAAGCCTTAAGACATTTTTAAAGGAGAATTCTTATATTGTGGAAAAATTGTCTTGCCTAATCAAATTGATTGTTACTTTAGAAACGATGCGTTTTTTAAATTTTCCCACAAGACAATCATAACATTCCATAGTAACTTTATAATTTTCAATAGATCCTAAGACTTACTGCTCCTTGCTTCATAATCTTATCTCTTAAATTGCATTCCTTTGTGCACATCAAATCTTCCCATGCTTTTTTCAAGGCTATTTCTGATGGAATCAATGGTTTTATTGTAATCTTGAATATATTTATCTCTGTTTCTGTCCTTTCTTTTTTTGCTCATATTTCTCTCTCCCTTTCTCTCTCTCTGTCTGACTGTGTGTGTGTGTTTACTCCACCATCACTGTGAGCAATGATAATAGATAAAATATACTATATATTAGGCACATGTAGTCTCTGCCTTCTAATAAATAATATTTTCCCTCTCCTCTTTACTTCGTTTAAAAGGTATGATCACCATTGTTACTAGATAAGGAGATTGATCAATTTTTGAATCAAACATATTTGTCCTACAACAACCCTTTCTGTATATTCTATCTGATGAAAACATTATATGCAACCATCTCAGAGTATATTTTTTGCAATCATTCCTTTGATCATTTTACAAACATTTGTTTGAGCTTATTATGAGAAAGGCACTGAGCTGGACTTTGGGT
The DNA here is from genome assembly GCF_000001405.40 of Homo sapiens. Taxonomy (NCBI): domain Eukaryota; kingdom Metazoa; phylum Chordata; class Mammalia; order Primates; family Hominidae; genus Homo; species Homo sapiens. The sequence goes on from NC_000004.12 coordinate 157,893,032, forward strand.
ATGGAAGACAATGACACAAGTCTATGCTCTTAAGAAGCTCATATCTTAAGGAGGCAAAGAGATAAATAATGAGTACTTATAATGGAGTATATATCACTTGCCATTATAAAGATATTCAGAGAATTCTAAGGGAGCACAAATACAAATCAGTTTTCTCAGTTGAGAAATAAGTAAATCTGTAGATGAAGCTTAGGCTGAGTCTTTTTAAAAAGGTAAAGACTCCACAAGGTACAGAAGAAGATGGGGACTTTTCATGGAAAGGGAACTATTTGCACAAAGACACAAAGTCATGACACAGCATGGGACATTCAGAAGACCAGTCACTACCCAGAGTGGCTGTGAGATTGTGGTAAATGACAATAAAGAAAAGATTTATGGACTGGTTTAGAAAGCAAATTATTTACCTGTTGAGTAATGAAACAATGGCAAAATTGATGAAGGAGGAATGTGTGATTTTAGACCAACATCTCTTTTTAGAAACTTCTTTTGAAGGGAATGAAAAACAAAATGGTTAGATAGATAGGCATGTTGGATCAGTGGTGTGTGTGTGTGTGTGTGTGTGTGTGTGTGTGTGTGTATGAGAGAGAGGGAGAGAAATTGATAATCAATGCTTCTATAACTGTGAGGGAATGAGATTTGGGTTATAGTAAGATATCTATTCCACTTTGAAGCAAGAATGGTGATGCAGACAATTAAAGTGGGTGGTAAATATTTCTCTGTAGGCTAAAGAGAGAGTCACTCAGAGTCAGATATTAGATTATCTCTTCCAATATCATAAATACAGAAAAATTTGTACCTGTACAACTTCATGCAGCTCATAGTCTGAAGTGTTTAATTCGTTCATATTAGATGATGCCCACTTTACCATCATCTGTTATGACTTATAAAAAAGCTGGTAAATACTTGATTTTGTGCAGGAAATACTTGACTATTTCAGATTCTAACAAGGAGGAGGAGGCAGGGAACATTCTGCCTTGCTTATTACTATATCTGTATGTATCTTAAACATTATGATTACTCCGTAGACATTGTTAATCAATGAATAAGTGAGTGATCGCATTGTTTAGGGGTATAGCTTGTTCCCTGTTTCCTACATTTCCCATTTCCCTCCCATTTAACATAAAATCCCTGGCACCTCTCCACTCTTTCACTCTCCCCTCTATGGAGGCAGAGTGACTGAGTTAATCTTCCTAAAGAGTTTTTAAGGAAAAACTTGACATGTGATGTCCAGCTCCTTTTTCCTTTCTTATAGTGACCAGTGGGACTACATTTAGGGCTACTAAGTAAGTCTTTCTGGTTCTGGAGTTAAATTAATAAGCCCCCACTTGTGAATTTCAGGTTTATCAGAAAAATAACACAGATATTTTGGTTTTCATCTGCCAATTCTCTGTCCTGTTTCTCATTTGATTCAGAATTTGAGTGAAAAACTTGGTATTATTTACTGACCTCTTTCAAAGTCTGCAGTAGATATAATTTGGGAAAGCTATCAGAAAGCAGCTTAGCTTTGGTGGGTTCATAGGAAAACATATATTTCATTATTAGGGATCTGTAGAAAAGTCTTTTTCAGAGCTGTGCCTTACTTGCTATCTGACCTTAAAAATCATTCACACTTTGCATAATTCAGTTTCCTCATCTATAATATGAAAATAACCCCTGTCTTACCTACTTCACATAAACATAGAAGTATTACAAGGAGATTTGACTTGTGCCTACTCTCGATAACTATACTGCCCCTTGCTTCCTGAAGGTCACTATTAGCCTGATTATCAACACTGGGATTTAGTTTGGACTGTTTTAGAACTTTATGTAAATAAAATCAAAGGAAAAAAAAAAGAGATGTTCTTAAAAAAAAAAGTTTCATAAAGCATTATACAAATATAAGTCTTAAAAAAAAATAACCAGGGCATTTGCTTTCTCCCAGTTGGTATTACCTTACATAGGACCAATACCCTGATCATATTTGCCCTGATCATGCAATAGCTTCCTAAAAGGTCTTGTCCTTCTAGAGTGATGTCAGTGGCCCTGGTCAGTGATACTCAAACTCAATAAAAAGGAGAGATTATCATTGAAGAAGACAGGTTTATCCTTAAAAGTAGAGCCTGAGAAGATGGGTGTTCAGGTAGCTTATTGAGGAAGAAATTCCAGAGAGCAGGAGTGGCCAAAGGAGGAAAGACAAATGCAAAGATGCATCATCCAGCGGCCCACTGAAGACATAGCAACTAGATGCCACCTGGAACCCACTGCAGAGCCTACAGAATGCTCTCAGAACCCACCCCTCAGATCAGCAAGGAAAACAGGTCAACCACGTGCTCCTCTTTTTGAGAATTGTCCACAGGGAGGTTAGCTCCTCCACAGGATGAAAAACAAAAGACAACTGGCAGCTGGAGGGAGCCTGGAGCTGAGACACTGTCAGAGTGAAGTGACTCAAATCCCTGGAACAACCTGCAAGCAGAGCCAGAATCAGAGGGGAAACGGAGAAGATACGAGACAGAGCAGCAGAGCTGCTTTGCCTGTCATTTTTATTTTATGGATATCATGAAACATTTAGAGATGCATTTGAGCATACAAACTGGGGAATTTTTATAAGAAAAAATGTGAAATTTTATATTTTTCTGAGAAAATATAAAAGCAAAACCACAGACATTACATATTTGCAAAAACTAAATTTACAGACTAAGCATAAATGACTGTTCAGTTAATACAGTTTTTTTGTCAAATTGATACCACATGTGTTATTTATTTATATCACCTGCTGGGATTTGTGGTAAAATTAAAAAAGAATAGAAATGTTAAAAATTGAAAATATGGAAGAAAATCTTATAGTTGAAGAAAGTACCAATTTTGAGTTTTTCCTGCTAAACTATTGTTAATTGATTTGAGTAGCTCTGAATACACCAGTCTTCGGGCATATCGTCTGAGACTCACTAATCCAACCTCTATTTTGTTGCCAGAGGGATTTTTCTAAACTTCTAACTTGATCAAGTGACTTTCCTCCTTAAAAACATATGTCTCTACCTCCCTGAACTTGCAGTTCCCTAAATATCCTTACCTTATTCCAGCCGCTTTGCTTTAGTACACATCATCCCCTTTTTGGAAATGCCCACCACGTCCTCTGAGGAAATCTCCTCTCATCCTTCAAGCCCCCGCACAAACCTCCACCTTAATACAACTCCCCACCCCGTCCCCTTGAGGTGGGTGTTCCTGCTAGAGTGTTCATGGTTCTCTTGTAAATGACTTCAGTATAGCATCAGTTTACATTTGTGGTGGGATAACCTCTCTGAATATTAACTGAACTCTAACCTCATCCCCAAATAGGCACATGTGTGTTGGCTGAAAGGTAATCCCATTCAGGCAGCAGCTGGGCCTGTTTCTCTTCACTGACCCAGGGAAATGATATGAAATATCAATTTTCCAACTTGTACTTTAAACCATCTTTAATTACCTTGAAGCTACAATTAATTATTAGAGATGTGGTACCAACTCCATATAATATGGCATTCACTGTAGTAAAAGCATGATTTTGAATATAGAACATTGTTTTTACCATGAATTATTAGGGGAAATTACAAAAGAGTGAACTCTTAAATCAGCAAACCTGGGACTATAACTTTGGCAGATGGTTGGGGGAATGAAGTGGAGGATCACATGTTATTTGTAAGCAAGAGAAAGCCAGCAAGTATTTTGGTTATATAAGCTCCTTGTTGCCATTTTTTATTCATCCGTTTTTTATTCATCCATTGCAAGATTGTTCTTGATATTGTCTTTGTAAAGCACCACCATTAAATATTCATTGAGACAGCTGGGGGGAGGCGGATAAAGAAGGGAAATGAGAAATAGAAAAGGGGGAGAACAATCAGTTTCTAGGCTTTCTGAGGCATAGAAAACCTGGATGTAGTTTCAGCAGGGGTGCCATATGAAAGGAATGGAAGTGTTAGCTTACCTGGAGGGACGTCATGACAACCAACACAGAAGAAAACAAATGCAGTAAGAAAAGAAAGAAAGCAATAAGCTAAAGTGACTGGAAATCTGAAGATAGGTATTATATTTGATCTGATCAATGCCAAATGTCCAATAGTCAAGTGTTATGATACCTGGAATCAACATAGTGACTATATATACCTTGGGCTACAGTAAAAATAGAATCTCGAAGATAGAAAATCCTGAAAACAGAAATACATTTAAAAGAATTCAGTAATCCAATCATGAGTTAACAAGAGACTGGACTAACATTAAAAAGAGATGTATGAAAAAAGCAGGCAGGAAAAGTTACAGAACTTATTATTAAAGGATGAAGACTCTGATATACGGAGGAAAAATGGATTTGGGAAATCCCAGCAAGGATGATATCATAACTACATAAATCGGTCTGAGGGAGAGGGCCTAGATTGAAGATATCTACTTTTATGATGCTGAATTCCAGAGCTTTTTTTTGAGATGACACAGACACAGAGAAAGGTGATGGTCCATATTGAAGGTGGGACACATTAAGGCTGCATGGGAACAAATAAATAAATTTAATTCATAGCCTCATCCTTCACAGGAATTTTATAATAATTTACCCTTCCAGGGATAATCATTATTTTCACTGGCAGAAGAGGTATATTTTTTAAATATATATTCTATTATCAGATAACATCCAAACACAGTTGGCCAAGCTCTGGAAATATTTAAAATGGTACACTAACAATAAACAGTGATTTGTTCCTCAGTAATTAAGTATTCCTGACTATCATAGACAGTTCCATCAGTACTGACTTGATGCAATGTGAATCAAGCTGTGTTAATGAGGGCACTTGATTTAATAGAAAATTAAGTTGCTTTTTCTTTCTGCCTGTGATATCCAGGACTGTTTGAGGAGAGGGACTCAAACAGTGTCAGATGCATCTTTGTTCTGTCTTGTATTTGTGGGGTGCTATCATATGGTACAGCATTTGGAGACTGGTCTCTGCAATGGGGGATAGTAGACAGGCTGAAACCTGCAGTGTTTTTAAATGACAGGTTGAAAAGATTCTTTTTCCCAAAACCCTAAGGGAGTTTTTACCTTGACAGATAATATGTGACTATCAGGCTGCATTCTTCAGACTACTTTGCTTGTCAACCCCAATCTGTGAAATATTGAGTTGAGAGTGTGGGAGGCATGTTAAAATGGAAAACTACTCAGTACACCTTCACTGGGCTTCATCCTCCACTGCTGCTGAGTCTTAGAGGCTCAGAGTCAATGATGTGGGTTATTGAGTCCCCAGGTAGCTTAACTGTTGTATTTACTTCTGAGGAGAATTGAGATAATGAAATTAGTAAAATAATAATAATCATAAGAATCTGAAGCACATTCAACTGTCTAATTGTCTGACTGTAAGTTTAGTACAGAACCATCATAGAACAAACAGAATTTTTTTCTGCCTACACTTTCTCCCATATTCTTGCATATGATCTGGGCAAATCTAACCCAGGGTCACCTAGAATAATGCACACTTGACAAACCACAGACTGCTCCTTCTTAGCAGTCTTGAATGTTTGCTGCAAGAATAACTCTGGCTTACAAATAGTCCTCATGCTGTGCAGCTTGAGGATGTGACAACCTAAAGGATCTTGTAAATATCTGCCCTTGATCCCCTGCCTCTAATACACAAGGAACTTTGCCCAGTGCTTCAGAATGCTAAGCTTTTCCATCCAAAAGTATTTATGGATTAGTTACCACAGAAAACTAAACCTAATTATTTTCTTTCTAAATAACTCTACCAATATATCTTTAACAGAACGTCATCTCCAGCATTTTCAGAAACCCCCTCTGATGCCAGATCAATATCAGGCTTTTGTGTAGAACCATCAGTAAGCAAAGCACAGGCACGATGTGTTTCCTTCAAGCCTATCTCAAGTGTCCTTATTAAAGCAGTCATTGGGGTAAAGCTAGAAAGGTTTTGTACAACTTCATCACAATGCCACTGCATGTGGAGAGACTCCTAGGCAGTGCTCAACAATTGAAAAAGGAAATTCTTCTTCTCTCCTTTCCTAGCTATGACATTTATGAATGCCCACACATGACAAAATGAGCCTTGTTTTATGAATTTGGTTTTCAAATGTCTCTATAGAGTGCTTGTTTTAAAAAGGAAGCCCGATCCATCAGCATATGAGTCACTCCACAATACTCAGGTTTAGTTATTTGTGAAAAAGCTCAAATTTATAAAAGAACTGGATTTGAACTTTGAAAAATGGTAACATTAAGGGAAATCTTTACAAAAGCTTTACTGATACAACATAAATTAAATGTGCCTGTGTGGTCCAGTAATGTTGTCGTCCCTTTAAAACAAAGCAGTAGACTTCCAGTTTTGTGGGTTTTTTTTTTTTTCTTTTTTGGTCTTTTCTTCCAAGACACAATGATTAACTTGTGCTGATTCATCTCTACTGGCTCACTCAACCTCAGAATTCAAGAAGGACCTCCATTTTGTCTAGATATGTTGGCTTTGGTTGTATATGCTGCATAAACTTGGGCAGTTTGTCTGCTAAAAAGGACACTTGGCTGAAGTAGTGAGAAGAGGCTGAAATGCAGTTTATGTCCTGCATGGGGCAGCCAGGGTCACTTTTCCTAAATAATAAAATGATGCTATGTAGGCTAAGAGCTGCCCTAGATCTTAAAGCAAGGTTGCCAAATGATACATGTCCCAGGCAGGTTCACAGATTCAAGATGTGTGGGCTGAGGGAGGAGGGTGGTGTCACGAAGAGCCATCAGAAGGGAGTAGCAGCCACTTTCTCCAGCCGATTGGTCCCAGATGGGGCGTGTGCATATCACTCAGACAGAGCTTCTGATTTCTTAAGTAAAATTAGAAACAGAGATTGTTTCCATTGCATGTTAGCAACAATAAACACCTAAAAAGGTGGTCTAAATGAAACACTAAGGGTTAGATCTGACCTGTGGGCCACTGATTAGCAAACTCTGAGCTAGAGTTATGGATGAAATTGGGCACATAGTTACTAAGAGTGGAACTATAAAACTCACCGAGGGATGGAACTCACAGCATTGCTTGCCTCCAAAGTCACTGTGCTCTAAATAACTCTGAACTCTGCATATTTTATGGCATTCAAATCAATCTTCAAAGGAAAAACATTTAGGGCTCTTTGGCTTGTCTCTTCTGAGTCTTAGTAAACTCAGGTAAAAGTAGTGTTTTATATATATATATATATATATATATATATATATATATATATATATATATATATATACACACACACACACACATACATACATATACAGGAAGGTGTCTCCTTCCATCTACCACATTTTACAAATTTACTGGGAAGCTATAGTCATTTTGACAACATGCTAGAACTAAGCTGCTCTGGTATCATCTGTAACTGGCTTAGTAGACCAATGAGGCTCAGGGAGGCGGACGTTCATACCTTGGACCTGCAGAACTCATGAGCCTGGCATGTTTGACAGGGAGAGGCTGATACAACGTTTTGATGTGAGACTTTTTTTGAAAAAAATCTTTAAAAGTATTGTTTTTAAATTTTTTAATATTTCAATAGTGTTTTGGGTACTGGTGGGTTTTGGTTACATGGATAACTTCTGTAGTGGCGATTTCTGAGGTTTTAGCGCAGCCATCACCCAAGCCATATACACTATGTCCAATATGTAGTCTTGTATCCCTCATCCACTTCCAGCCTTGCCCCTTAAGATTCCAAAGTCCATTATATCACTCTTATACCTTTGCATCCTCATAGCTTAGCCCCCAAATAAGTTAGAACATATGATATTTGGTTTTCCATTCCTGAGTTACTTCACTTAGAATAATGGCCTCCAGCTCCATCCAAGTTGCTGCAAGATATATTATTTTGTTCCATTTAATGGTTGAGTAGTATCTCATGGTATATTTATATATATATAACACTACTTTTTATCCACTCCTTAGTTGATGGGCACGTAATTTGATTTCCTATCTTTGCAATTGTGAATTGTGTTGCTATACACATGCATGTGCATGTGTCTTTTTCATATAATGACTTCTTTTCCTCTAGGTAGATACCTAGTAGTGAGATTCCTGGATCAAATGGTAGTTCTACTTTGAGTCCGTTAAGGAATCTCCATGTTGTTCTTCATAATGGTTGCACTAATTCGTATTCCCACCAGCAGTATAAAAGTGTTCCCTTTTCACCACATCTATGCCAACATCTACTGTTTTTCAATTTTTTAATTGTGGCCATTCTTGGAGAAGTAAGATGGTATCTCATTGTGGTTTTAATTTGCATTTCCCTGAGAATTAGTGATGATGAGCATTTTTTCATATGTCTGATGGCCATTTGTGTATCTTCTTTTGAGAATTGCCTACTCATCCCCTTTGCTCATTTTTTGATGGAATTATTTGGTTTTTACTTGCTGATTTGTTTGAGTTCCTTATAGATTCTGGATATCAGTCCTTTGTCAGATGCACAGTTTGTGAATATTTTCTCCCCGTCTGTGGGTTGTCTGTTTACTCTGCTGAATATTTCTTTTGCTGTGCAGAAGATTTTTAGCTTAATTACGTCCCATTTACTTATTTTTGGTTTTGTTGGGGTCTTAGTCATTAATTCTTTGCCTAAGCCAATGTCTAGAAGAGTTTTTTTATGTTATCTTCTAGAATTTTTATGGTTTCAGGTTTTAGATTTACATCTTTGATCCATCTTGAGTTGATTTTTTCATAAGGTGAGAGATGAGGATCGAGTTTCATTCTTCTACATGTATGTGCCCTGCCGGGTTTCCTAGTATCATTTATTGAATAAAGTGCCCTTTTCCCAATTTATGCTTTTGTAAGCTTTGTTGAAGATTAGTTGGCTGTAAGTATTTGGCTTTATTTATGGGTTCTCTATCCTGTTTCATTGGTCTGCATGCCTATTTCTATAGCAGTGCCATGCTGTTTGGGTAACTATAGCCTTGTAGTATAATTTGAAGTTGAGTAATGTGATGCCTCCAGATTTGTTCTTTTTGCTTAGTATTGCTTTGGTTATGTGGGCTCTTTTTTGGCTCCATATAAATTTTAGAATTGTGTTTTCTAGTTCCATGAAGAATGATGGTAGTATTTTTATGGAAATTGTTTTGAATCTGTAGATTGCTTTGGGCAGTATGGACATTTTCACATTATTGATTCTTCCCATCCATGAGCATGGTATGTGTTTCCATTTGTTTGTGTCATCTATGATGTCTTAAAAAGTATTATTTTTCAAAACATTTTCAAGTTTATTAACAAAATATAAAGCATCCTAAGCCCATAATTCTACAGGCTTACTAAATGCCAAAATGGTTTCCTATCAAATGGTTTGCAAAGAATTATTTTTTAAAGAAGTCATTTGTTTCTCTAGAATTGAAAGAAACACGTTTCTAAACAAGCAAACAAAAATATATAGGGGAAATAATATGAATATCTGAATTATCTACTTTTGACCTTTTAATTTCCACAAGAAAATAATGGTATAACAATAAAATTATGGAGTTATTGAGTTGTTGTAGTACAATGGAGTATAATATACGAATTCACAAAGATAACCATGCCTCTCCAGTATCAGTCAGATAATAAAATTAAAACACAATGAATTCCTATCTTCATTGTAATATATCTATTTTTACTTTAAAAGTGTTACAAAATTTTAAGTCTCCAGATAGCTGTACTCAGTAATTTTGACTGAGCATTTACAAAGCCAATAATGGGCCTAAACTCAAATTAGAAGCAATACTCTCCTATTTGACTTCCTACATGATTCTCTGTATTTAGATGGCAATCTTTTTAAGACTGTAGTCTAAATGAGTATGCATGACATTAGCAAACAGTAAATCAGTACTGGAGGCAAGGAATATTGGAATAGGAACTAGTTCAAGCAAATTTTTCCATCCTTCCTTCCTTTCTTCCTCCCTCCTTTCTTTCCTTTCTATCTTCTTTCCCTGCTTCCCTCCTTCCTTCCATGAGATGTGTTCCTAGAAGTTGATTTCTGCTTTATTAGAGCTCTATAAGGGAAATTCTGCTGATCCCTGTACAGTGATTAAGACACCTGCTCCCTCACAGAAAGAATAAACATAGCACAGTAGTATACACAATTGTAACCAAAAATGAACAAGCAAATAAAAATGCAGTTTAAGTCGGGCATGGTGGCTCATGGCAGTAATCCTAGCACTTTGAGAGGCTGAGGCAGGTGGATCACGAGGTCAGGAGTTCGAGACCAGCCTGGCCAACATGATGAAATGTGTTCTACTAAACATCTCTACTAAACATACAAAAATTAGCTGGTTGTGGTGGCACACACGTATAGTCCCAGCTACTCAGGAGGCTGAGGCACAAGGATTGCTTGACCTAGGAAATGCAGGTTGCAGTGAGCTAACATCACGTCACTACACTCCAGGCTAGGTGACAGGGCAAGACTCCATCTCAAAAAAAAAAAAAAAAAAAGTCATATAAAGGAAAAAATGCAGTTTATTTTAATTAGTAGTTGACAATTTAGCAAGGGACATTTCCCACTCCAGGCCTAGTAGTCTCAATTCCACTGTTTACAGTGCTTCTGGCTTCTGTAAAGATAATTTCTGTTTTCCAGCACACAGCAGCTTACATTACTAAATATTTTAGATGAGCTCTGTAATCTTGAGGTCATTTTCATCCACTTCAAAATGACTATTTCTCCCAAAAGCTTGTGAGAGGAAAGAGTAAATATAGTACAATCTTAAACCCTTCATATTCATAGCAATCTCTAAATAAATATTTATATTTCTTAATTTGATAGTAATGACAATAGTGGCATAGGAAAGTGGTTATGAAAATGACATTTTCACTATAGTAAACTATGAATAAAAATATATTACTGTTTCTGTTTTTGGAATAGGAAGTTTAATGTGCAACTAGGGTGAAATTGGAATGTTTTGTTAATGTACAATAACAAATTAAAAATGCCTCGTATTCTAGTAATGGGAAAAACAATCATATCTCCCCAAACAATAATGCATTGATTATCATTTCACATGTATATAGCCACTCAAACTTATTTCCAGTGGATTTAGTATACATCTGTCATCTTATTGCTATCAATTCATAGGATTAAAAGTTTTTATTAAAAGTACAATTTCAACTTTCACAGAAGGAAAGGAATTAGAGAAAAAAGATAAAAGTGTAAATGAGAAGTGAGAATCTGACTTAAACTTTTTCTTTCTTTCTTTTTTATTTTTTTGTGGAAATGGGGCCTAGCTATGCTGCCCAGGCTGATCTTAAACTCCTGGGCTCAAGCAATCCTCCCACCTCAATCTCCCAAATTTTTTGGGGAGCAATCCCAATTTTGCTGGGATTACAGATGTGAGCCACCATCCATGGCTGGGAGAATTTGGAAATCAAAAGAAAGAAAAAAACAAAAAGGAAGTTGAGTCCACCTGTGCATGGTCCAGTTAAAATCTGGGGAGGATCCAAAGATGAAAAAAAAAAAAAAAGAAAAGAAATTTGGCCCCAGTCAACAAGAACATTGTGACTAGAATTGCTGAGGCCAAGCCACAGCCATGGAAAATTCCAACATACAAAAGTAATAATGTATCTTTGAATTGGGCATGGTGAAGGTTACTCCAGGCATATGAGATTCACAGAAATCTAAGCAGATTTCTGGCTGGAGTTCAGTAGTAGGACCCTGGTGCCTAGGAAGGCGAATGGAAGGGAAGCCATCTTCTAGAGGCACTCAAGTACCAGACAGATTACCAAAATGGGTATTCAGTTACCATAGTGATACATAAGGAGATGTATCACTTATGGTACATCAATTTGGGGATAGAAGAGAGGACAACAGTAACTGATTGATATCAGCAAATTTTGGAAAACCTACAAGTATCTAATAAATCCAACATTTTTCTAGCACCTATTACCTGCTGGATATTTTTGTAAGTACTTTAATTGTTGTACTAGCCCTATGAGTCAGGCAATATTATTATCTACAATTGACAGGTAAGGAAGGCACTGAAAGGCTGAAGAAGTTATCCAAGATCATTTACTTCATAAGTGGCAGTCAAGATTTGAACCAAGGCAGTTTATCCCCAGAGCCTGGACACCTAAACACTATTTGTCATGTTGCTCTGGGTGGTAAATGACTCACAAGAATGCAGAAAGTTCTCATCTACATGCCTGTCTGGGGAGAAAACTGCAAGAGTTAATTTATTATGTTTGGGCCACAGAATCTCAGAAGGACTCAGGAATCGGAGACATGTACTTTTGAAGCAGGTGAAATGGGTGTCTGTGGGAGAGCAGGGAAGCTGAAAGCAGAGGACTGGTTAACTCCACTGCCCTCTCTGTGCATGAAGTAATTAGTCCTGCAGACCTGGAGACACACATCAAGGAGAGCTGATGTGCTGTACCACAAACTAGGGATTAAGGGAAGTCTACAGACTGAATAATGAGATCTCTGGCCTCCTCAGCACTTTCAGCTTGCAAAATGCAACAACCAAACCAGAAACTTAGATGGAGAGACCAAGAGGAAGGAAACCAGATATTCACACTTGGAAGTGGGTTTACTCATTGATATGCCTTCATGCTTAAGGCCTACCAGGCAACCAGTGCTTCCTTTTACTCTGTAATATGAATGAACAAGCAAACAAGAACAGAGAAAACTTTGTAAGATTAGAGATAGAAACCAAAGAGGGAAAAAAAGGAATAATTTTGTAGAAAGGAGAGACAATGTGGGGAACAGAAGAAATTTTCAGAAAACCTGCAACTACCATTCTCGGAAACATTAGGGGGAAATATTGCCTTCACGACGCAAGAACCTAAGAATGGATTGGGCTTTTAAGCAGGAAATGGCTCAGCTGGGAAGGGAGGAAGGCTGTGGAGAACAGAAGTCAGAAGGGCCTGATGATAACTATCTGGAAAGAAGGGCAAAGGGTCACTAATGACTGTCAGAGGTGGAATGCAATAGCTCCAGTAATGGAAGACTTTACTCCAAAGTCCACTATCTTTTGTGAAAATATATTTCTTCACATTATGTACCAAAAAAAAAAAAAAGAAGCAAAACTCTATGTCTTTTTCCAATGCTGTTTCTGCAATGAAAAGAGAAGTGAAGGTGCTCACTATCACTTGAGAAACAGAAATGTTATGTGTAGGGAGGAGGATAGAAATTATAATTCTGCAGCATGTCTTAATAGAAGGAGCACCGACGATGAAAAGAGATATAACTTGGTTGAAATGACAGCTCTATTTCAGTCATGTTGCTTTCACTCTCTGCATTTGTGTCCTCATTGATAAACGGGGAGAATATCATGTACCACATACAATAGGTTATATGAAATAGAAAACGTGAAATGCTTTTCAAATTCTAGTTATATAAGAAAGATGATCTCTCCTCCATGGATACTCTACATAGCAACCAAACAAAATCATGACAACTTGCTATTTCCTTGCTCATTCATCAATGCTCTCATTACTTCAGTATATATTATTGACTGCTGCTAATGACCAGGTACTTTTCTAGATACTGAGGACACAGCAATGAATGGAACAGTCAGAAATCTCGGACTTTACTTTCTTCTGGAGGGGGAGAATGAATCAATCATAAGACAGGTATCATTTCAGACTGAGATAAGTGCTATGGATTAAAACAGAGAGCAAGAACAGGAAGAGCAAGGTGGAGAGCTTACACGTTTAACTAAGACGGTAAGGGAAAGCCTCACAGAAAAGGTAATATTTAAGTAAAAGTTAGAGGAGTTGAAGAAGAGAAGCACATAAACATCTTAGGAAAGGAATTTTCAGGCAGAAGAAAAAGTAAGTGACAATGCCCTGAGGCATGGTCTCATCTAGCTGGCTAAAGGACCAACAAAGAAGTCAGTGCAGCAAGAGAAGAATGAACCAGGGTGATAGTAATAAAGTTGGAAGTAAATGGGCAGGGGATAGAGCTTGTGGGCTTTAGCGGGGATTATAAGACCATTGACTTCTATTCTTCATGAGAAGGGATGCCAAAGTTGGGTTTTGAGCAGAGGAGTCGACAGTCTTAATTATTTGTTACAAGGATCACTATGAAAAATCTATTGAGAATAGACTGTTGGGAAACTAGACATTCAGTGCATTTATTCAAGTCAAAATGATAGTGGCCTGGTAGTGATGGAGGCAATGAGGAGTAGTTGGATCGTGGATATATTTTAAAGGTAGAGCCTACAGGAATTGCTGACTTCAGATGAGGTATGAGAAAAAGGAAGGAGTCAAAGATAACATCAAGGGTTTGGGCCTCAGCCACTGGAAAAATAAAAGTTACTATCAACTGAGAGGAGAGAGGCTGTGATGAGAACAAGTTTAGAAAGGGAGGTGAAATCAGGGGTCATATATTGGACATGTTAAGTTTGAGTTGCCAATTATAAATGCAAGCAGAGATATTAAGCAGGTAGCTGGATATATGGGTCTGGAGTTCAGGGAAGAGGACCAGGCTAGAGATATAAATTTGCGGTTGTCAGCATATACATAGAATTTATAGCCATGAGACTGGATGAGATCACTAATGGAATTAGTATAAAGGGAAGAAAAAAAAAACAGATGGAAAGACTAAGCCCTGGACACTGCAATGTTACAATTAACTAAATCAACGGAGATAAAATCAAGGTAAGCAAAATTATAAAGATTTGTTTCCATAAATAAGCAGAGAAAACCTAGAACTGTGCCTGGACAAATTCTTTGCCTATGTCGAACAAGCAATTAATAGTACTAAATGTGTGAACACATCCAGTCTGCAGAGAGAAAAATAGAGATCTGCAAAGTCAGGTTAAGACAGAGAGAGGCAATTTTCCTGACAATTTTCCAATTCCTATGTGACCCAGCTGTATTTTATGTCCTACATTTTTATGTTCCCCGTGGATACTTCCAGTTAAATCCCTTATTACCCGAGCTAGTTTGAGTGGCCTTCTACTCTTTATAAACAAATTACCCCTGACAACAAATTATTTTACCTTCTGTACCCAAAAACCACTCTAGCTTAAACTGTTCTGCCTACAACTTCTATAATGGTGTAAGCCTAATACACGCAGCCTCATTTTGCACCCAGGTTACAGCTGGACATCTGACCCAAAAGGAATCATAAACGCTTTAAGCCAAACGTTTTGTCTCTGGAAAATTTAAATGAAGGTCACAGACATGTAAATTAAGAGTCACAGTTCATGTGACCTGTAAACTCACATGGTGCTATAGTGGAAATAAATCAGAACAAGCCAGAAGCATATGCAACAGGAAATTAAGGGAAGCAGAGAAGTCTTTTGTAAGCAGAGAAACTAGGCGAGCACAGAGAAATTAGATGGCATCTATCTAGTTGGGTGGCATAGATGCACAGATAGAAGCAGGGATAAAAGACTCTAAGACTTCACAGTCCTGTGGCAAGGCAAGGGGATCCTCTTAGACTTGACTTCCAGCCTCAGCCTCAGAGGGCTGACTGTTCCTTGCATTTTGTTTTTGGATATTTACAAACTTTTGTCATTCTTTCAACAAACCTTTGGAGGGACAGCTGCAGCTTTCAATTATAGCCTTGACCAGCTGAGGAAGACTTCAAGGAGCTTCATGAGTTTGGACTTGAAGGATAAATTTTTGCTTGAAGGATGATTTGTTTTTTGTATTTGGAAAGGTAAGGGAATGGCTAGCAAAAATAGTTACCATGTACTGAGTATCTCAATGTGTGCCAAGTGTTTACGAACACTTTCTCATTTAATTCTCACCACATCCCCATGGAATAGGTCTTATTATCTTCATTTTACAAATGAGGACTAGAAAGGTGTAATGAATCCCTAGATTATACAGCCAATATCTGGTATTGTCCAGGAGCCACCTCTGGTCTGTCATACTCCAAAATTCTCTTAAACATTCTGCTATAATGTTTCCAGTTTGGGGAAATAACAACAACAACAAAAATTGGAATCAGGCCTACGGGACATCGAGTGACAAAGCTGGCCTAATCACAGAAGCACTTATCTGTGTGCTAGGAAGCAATGGAAAATAACATATGAATATGAATATGAATATGTCTGAAAAATGCTAAGAGAGTAGATAATATGTGCTCTCACTACAAAAATGACAACCATGTGAGGTAATGCATTTGTTAACTAGCATGATTTAACCATTCCACAATGTATATGAACTTCAAAACATGATGTTGTACATGATAAATACATATATTTTATCCATTAAATAAATCCATTTGAAATAAATAAAGCAATTGAAAAAAATGAAAAAATACTACAGGGTGCCATGAAAGCTCAGTAGATGAGTTTCTACTTTATATTACATACTATTTAGCATAGCTATTTAAAGTTATTAAGTATGAAGATAATTGATACCATTAAAGCAAATTCTTAAGAGTCTCAAATGGCAGGAATAAACATAATGTCTTATTGGAAAAAGGGACAAGACGCCTCTGAAGCCATATTTATATCTCTACCCTTGACTTTGCCCTTAAATTTTAGAATTAATTGAACTTGGCATCACCACTTAAATGTCTAATGGCTATATAAAATATAACATAACCAAAAGAGCATTGATTATGTGGCCAAACACATGCCCACCTTCTACCTCGTCTCCCCCATTCTCAATGTTCCCACCATCCACCCAGGCTCTCAATTCCCAAACATAAGAATTTCACTCAGTTCTTCCTTTCTCTTTTCATCCTCCTTATCCAGGCAAAAGAAATCTCGACTGACTCTACCTTCAAATAATTTAGAATCTCAAGATCTCTCTCACTACTACCACCAGGCTATTCCAAGCCAAATGGTTACTCCACTAAACCACTGCACAAGCTGCTATAGTGAATATATGTCACCTTATTATATGTGTAGCTTATGAAACCTTTCTTACACTTATAGCATGTGCCGTGAAAACTTGCTTCCTGCTCTAGGAGCTGAAATTACAGGATGCACATTTCTATAGCTTTTATTCTTGCAGAACTTCAGAAACCAAAGACAACTCCAAGGACCTTGAGTCCAAAGCTAGTGACCCACAGAAGTAGAGAGACTAGAACATCTCTGGGGAGGAGTCAATATCCAGAGACAGAATACCGCAGGGCCTCTAGGTGTGCAGAACTGGGTGAGACCTCAGCTGCAGCCTGGTCTACCAGCTGGGTGATGTAATTTTCATTGTGTTTCAGTCTGTTTCCCCAGCCTTCCTGGCAATTCTCCGGGTTAATCAATATGCTGACCAAAAAATATAACTTTCTGCTTAAACCAGCCAAAGCTGGTTTCTTTGCTTGCACTTAGGAACTCATTGAGTCGAGCTCCCTTATTCATATTCATCCTGCACAGAGAAGCCTGAATGAATGATCTGATCCTGTCACTCCCTGGCTTACACCAACCAATGGAATCCCAGCACACCTAGAATCATAGATGGCTCCTTAAACAAAATCACGCAGGGCCTACAAGACCAATATGATCTGACCTGAATGTGCGCTACAACCTTCTTCTTGCCACTGTGTCATTTGTTTCCTATACGTTATTCATACTGACTTTCTTTACACTCCTCAGGCACAAAGAATTTATTTCTTCCACAGATTTTGCAGTTGCCCCTCATTCTGGGTGAGTGTCCTTCCTCAGATTTTTACGTCTTCAGCTTTTTTGTAACAGTGATATCTTAGCTCACATAACACCTTCTCCAAGGAGCCTTCCTTAACTATTCAGTCCTATCACACTGAAAATTGCCCAGGTTTCTTTCTTGGCACTTATCACTATTAGAAATCACTTTGTTCTTTTATTTGTTGACTTAGTATTGTCCGCCCTTCCCTGTCCCACCTGATGCACACATATAAGCTTAAAGAGTGCATATTTTGTTCACATCTATATTTCTGGTGCCTAGAACAGTGTCTGGTACATAGGTTGGCACTCTGTGTTAAGAAGTAAATCTGAAAGTTTATAAAATCCAAAGGAAAATATACCAAATTTGATACTATTTGACCAAAAAAAAAAAAGTTTCAGTGCTCATTATCTACAAGGGGTAGTCAAGTAGATAGAATAAAAGATGTTCCACAGGATATAACGCAGAAGAACTGGAATAATGGTGCTGTCAGTTTTTAAATGGATATTTTGAAGCCCAAAGACTCTGAAACATGAGCACCACAGTTTGGAATTTTATTCGAGTATATCACCTATAAGAATTTATGGTATCTGTAAAAGAAAGTCATAGGAAAAATGTGATGAGAAAAAGACTTTCAGAAATCACACAACGTAAAGAATTTCAGATTGTTAATAAGTGCAATCAATCAGGTTTGGATGCATCTTTACAAAGGAGAATTTTAGACGCTTAGTCTTAAATGAAGACCCAGGATCCCTGGAGAAACTCACAATGAATGAAATAAGGGAAGTCATACAATTCCAGGCAAGCTTTTCTTGTGATTCATACCCAATCCAATTCCTGAATTAAATAGACATGCACATATGATTGATCACCTGGTAAAATGCTCAAGGAAACCTTCATTTTTCTCTGGAGAAGGAGGAAGAGGAGGAGAAGAAGGAGACAGAGAACATTTTTGCCGCTCTCCTAGTAGGTACATACTTCCATAAAGCCAGAGTTACAGCTCTAAATTTCTTCCTCCTCATTTTTCTCTCCACTGAAGCACGTCTTCCCTTCCAAAGAATGATAGCTTCCCTTTTAAGTATTTGCATCTGAGTTCAAAACTCAAGAAAACTTTTTTTTTTGCCCACTGGTTCTTCTTGTTTTTTGTACAACAGAGCACACTGTACATCTTAGAATAAAAGTGTAGAGATTCAAGTCAACCTAATTGAATAAAGATAAAACATTGTCTTACTTATGTAAGCAATTTACTTGATAAATTTAAAATAATGCATAAATTGCAGATGTTCAACCAGTACTGCAGAGAAACCATATGTCAGCTTCCATTCTGATTCTTTAGATAATCAAATTTGGAGTAAAGGGAGTAAAATTAGCTGCTAATAAATTAAACATGACTAGTATCTCATATCTTGAGACAGACCGAAGAACACATCCTATCCATTAAGCATTAGCAGTGAAAATGAAGAAAGAAAATAATTTGCAGAGTATGTCACAACAAAATAGTTCAAACCTATCCTTAGATTTATGAGATGTCTTCCTCTATACTTTATTTATGAATCAAATCCAAAATGCATGAAGAAATTACTTGTCAAGGGTATCGTGGAGGTAAATCGGATCTTTTTTTCTACTGCTATCTGCCCCACACAGGCAGAATGAAATCAGCTTCCTACAATAGTTCTATAAACAGATCCATCCAGCATATGCAACTTACTGACAACAAATCAATATGCTTTTTGGATTCGCATCTGACAAAGCTTAATAGCAAACAAAAGATAATATTTCTCTGAAACAATTCTATACAATAGTACAAAAGATCTTTATCAAGCTTTTCTTTCTAAATACCATTCATATCCTACCTCTTTCAAAAACGCTGACATTCTGCAGATATCCTCTGATATAATCTCTATAGGCTCCAAATAGCTTAAATTTACTTGTGTATTACCCTAAAATTGTGTCAGCCTGTAGAAAGCTCTATGTGGATTGCAGAAGCTAACATGGATTTTTAAAGATTCTCGCATCAGTTTTTATTTACATACTCCTTATTTGAAAGAATAGCATTCAAAAATTCATGCATACAATTACATTAAAGGTGGGATTTTGCTGGGTTCTATTATATTCAGAGGAAGTGATTCCATGCCAAAGATACATATTTGTAGTTAAATCACATGTAGATGCACAGTGTCTAGAAATGCATTATTGTCACTAACCTGCTGTTTCATTTTCTGCCTCGGAATGTAAGGAGGAACTTGGAAAAATCCCCTTGCTAAGTATGAGGGGAAAGGTTTCTGGTGCCATCTGTTAAGTTTTAAAGTCCTATATTGTATAGAAGAAAATATTATAAAGTATGTTCTTAATACTGACCTATCTAGAAATTCTGAGAAAGACTCATCTTTATTTTGAAATTTCCCCCGCCCCATCCCCACAAAAACTTGAACTTTGGGGGGAATTTTCATACTGCCTACATGATAGAGAAGGTCTACCAATGCCCAGACTTATAAATGAACAAAAAACATCACTGGGCATGGGGTGGAGGGGGGCCTTGTGGGAAAGCTAAACAAAAATTTCTAAATTTAACTGACAGCATCTTTGACACTGAGCAAAAATTATGTTGTATATTAGAGCACTCTTTTATTATAGTCTATGGACATTACAAAAGTAGGGAAGGACATTTTCTAGTATTAAAAAGGAAAATATTATTTTGGTCCAAAATATTATAGCTAAAGATAGAAGTAATACAAGTGACACTGAAAGTTCCATTGATAACTGGGGTTATGGTAAGTGCATTGTAACACCAATTAAAATAAAGTCAAATGTGCATAAAAACTCAAAATATATACCTTGAAGCAGATGAAATACAAAGTCGTCATAATAAAGAGAAATAAGCCCAACCTGTCCTCCAGCAAAGAACCTGTGACAATAAAGGTGTGGGGAAAGAGCGATACAGACACACTTGGATGAAACAAAGTTCTAGTTTTTCACCTCTTAGCAGATACTGTTTGTCTGAATACTTTAAGAGAGGCATAGCTATCCTAGCCCTCTTCCCTACACAGTTCATAGGCCATAGGAGGGAAGCTCAGCAAAACCTCTAATCTCAATTCCAAGATTCCCATTTCCACCCTCCTTCCCCTTCATGCTTGCTCCATTGTCCCGGACCGATTTGAGCTCTTCTTGGACTCAAATTTCCACCACCATAATCCTGGCTTTGACATCCATTTGTGGCCAAATTTAATTTGATGACTCTCTGAACTTCTTTCCTGTATTCCTTTGCCTTTTCTGCATAGATTTTCCTTTCTCAACCCCTTGAATTCTGGCATCCCTCAGATAAGAAACTTCTGCCTCAACTTTCAGCACCAAGGAAGTCTACCTGCATTCAGTCAAGCCTCATGTCTCAAAGGGACTGACACAATTAAGATGATGTTTACAGTAACATTTTATATCAGTTGAGACTCTTTCTTTGCAAGCTAGAGATCCCATTCTAACTAATTTATATGAAAAGAAACTTACTGGGAGCATTTTGGGAACCCACAGGTCAACAGGGCATACTAATGCATCAGATTTGGAAGTGCACAGAGACCAAGACTTATACCCCAGGACTAGAAAGTAAAAACTATAAGCAAGGTTTTCTAGCAAGAAGAGTCTAGTTAGCATGCAACTTCTGGTACGGATAAACATCAATCTTTTTTAGTGTATTATTCCCCTGTTTAAAATTGATATTCCATAGAGGGAGAGTCAAGTTGCCTGGCTTAAGGGATGTGACTACTGGATTACAGTGTCATGAAGATATGTTCAAAGGGGAAAATGTAAGTCCACAAAATAAAACTGAGATGCTCCTTAGAAAGGAGAAAAGGTCAGATGAGCCAATAATAATAATAGCAATAATATAATCATCCATTAGGCATCTAAAGAGAATGGTGGCCTGACCAGAGACTGTATCTAGTACCTATAATTACCTTAAAATTATGTTTGTGAACTATTTCTTCTGTGTCTGATATATTGTTCAATTAGAATTTCAGAAACCCTGTTAACTCTCCAAATTCATACACATTCTAGTTAATCAAGGCCAAATATCTGACAGCTAGAGCAAGGTATTTTCATTGTAGTGGTAAAGATTAAAAGATTAAAATGGTAATGTGTATGATCAAATTAATCACTTAATATGAATGAAATTCTATTATTCAAGTTAGGCAGTTCTGTATACCTACTTCATTTAATTCCCACAAAATCTCTGCAGGTGGGTATTACTAGACATCTTTAAAGGTGGAAAAACTGAACTTAGAGTCCTACAATACATTTAAATTCCTAAAGGCAAGAGTATTTGAACCCAAATGTATCTGCCTGTAAAGGAAATATTAGTTCCTGTGGAGTGAAATCAAGAATGGGGGAACATGTGAATCATGATTGTTGATCTGACCCAAAGGAAGCTAGGATGTAAACTGATAAGGGGATTTTTCAGTAGATTTAAAAGAAAAAAGCTTCTGCTTATAAATTTAAATTGGGAAATATGGAGACATCAGTCAGCTGGTATCCATGTAGCCAACTGACTATTTAACATTTCCCCTTGCATGTCAAATAGGCATTTCCAAGTTAATATGCCAAAAATGAGACTCTTCATTTCTACCCTCAAACCTCTTTAATCTTTAATCTCCTTAATCTGAGCCTCAATAATCTTTAATCTCCTTAAGCTCCAATCATCTTTCCCACCTCAGCTCAGTAAATGGCACTATCATCAACCCACCTGCTCAAAAAGCTCCGCCATTAAATAGGTGTATTTAGTTTTTATTTTGGAATCATTCTTTCAAAAAATAAGTTTCAAGAGGCTTGAGATGTTTTTATATTGTTAATCATTTCATCCCAGCTTCTTGTGACTAGCATAAAGTAGATGGTAAATAAAATAGGTCTCACATTAATAAGAGGTTATGATTTGGGATTATGACCAGAGCATCTCAGACTTAAACGTAATCAAAAGCTGGGCAATGGAAAAGTAGAGTCAAAAAAGTGGTTATGCAAGAAGTTAGAAGACATACTAATAGAATGAGAGACTGAGAGCACCTGCCTTTTAAATAGAGGACCTTAAAATGAAGGTCCATAAACTCCTCCTCCAAGGGTCCAGATCTTTCGGTTTGAAGAACCTAGATGCTCACATTTGCTGCTCTAGAATTCCCATGATTTTCTGCCTCCCATATTGCTTTCTATATATTTAAAGCATTCCCTGCCCATAGTGCTTAAATTTCTGTGAGTCTTTGTTCTTTGCAATGATGAAAAGTCCAAGGAAGGGCCAGGCGTGGTGGTTCATGTCTGTAATTCCAGCATTTTGGAAGGCCAAGGCAGGCAGATAACCTGAGGTCCGGTGTTCGAGACCAGCCTGGCTAACACAGTGAAACCCCGTCTCTACTAAAAATACAAAAAATAAGTCAGGCGTGGTGGCCAGTGTCTGTGATCCCAGCTACTTGGGAGGCTGAGGCAGGAGAATTGCTTGAACCTGGGAGGCAGAGGTTGCAGTGAGCCAAGACTGTGCCATTGCACTCCAGCCTGGGGAACAAGAGTGAAACACCATCTCAAAAAAAAAAAAAAAAGAATGTAAACCATTAAATGAGATCTTCACAATCTCTTCTGAGATCTGTTTGCACTTTTCCTAAACATCACTAGCAAAATCATTTCTGCAGATCCCTGTAAGTTTGCTTACTCATTATATTAGTTTTTTATTGCTGTGAAAATTTAACGCAGAGTCAGTGGCTTAAATTCACATGGAGTGTGTTATCTTATAGTTCTGCAGGTCAAAAGTCTGGTACAGGTCCTAATGGGCTAAAATCAGGGTTTCAGCAGGCTTGTGTTGCTTTCTGGAGTCGCTATAAGAGAATCCATCCATTCACTGGCCTTTTCCAGCTTCTAGACCAAGCTCGCATTCTTCAGCTCCTAGCCATTTTCTCCAACTTCCAAGTAAGTAAAAGTGCATTAAGTCTATCTCACATCACATCACCTTGACCTTCTCTTCAGCTTTCCTCTTTCACTTTTAAGACCCTTGTGATTACATTGGGCCTACCTGGATAATATAAGATATTCTTTTCATTGAAAAAAAAAAGCAGATTAGCAACTATAATTCCATGTAGAACCCTAATTTCCCTCTGCCAGATAACAGGGATTAGGATGTGGATGTCTTTTGGAGACTGTTGGTCAGCTTCCCACATTTATGTATCTCTTCAAGAGTGTTGCCTCAACTCCATCAGTTTCAATCCATTCAACATAATATCTAACATTCATTGAGTGCTACCATATGCTAATCAGTGTGCCAAACATGTTATGAATTTAGTAACCATATAGAAAATGTGTGTGAGGAGGGAGAGTGGAAAGGGATTTCAGCTTGATTTTTATTCGTCTGAAACTTCCCACTCCTATTTCATCTCCGCATGCAGTTCACTCCGTTTCCCTTCCTGCCTTCAGGGTTTTTGGCCAAAAGAAAATAATGTTCTTCTTAGAAACAATCTATGAAAATACAATTTTCTTTCCCCAACACATTTGTACTTTACTGCAAGTATACGCCACATTGTCAACTCTGCTGGGCATGTGGCTACATATAATCTGTTTTTTTTTAATTTTGTTTTGTTTTGTTTTGTTTTGTTTTTTGTTTTTGAGACAGAGTCTTGCTCTGTCGCCAGGTTGGAGCGCAGTGGCGCAATCTCGGCTCACTGCAACCTCCACCTCTCAAGTTCAGCCAATTCCCCTGCCTCAGCCCCCCGAGTAGCTGGGACTACAGGCATGTGCCACCACGCTCTGCTAATTTTTTGTATTTTAGTAGGGATGAGGTTTCACCATGTTGGCCAGGATGGGTCTTGATCTCCTGACCTCGTGATCTACCTGCCTCAGCCTCCCAAAGTGCTGGGATTACAGGCGTAAGCCACCGCACCTGGTCTAATCTGTTTTTTAAAGAGTAGTTTGCTCTATAATTTGATTTTAAAAAAGGTTTTCATACTCTAGAATTTAATTTGAATACCTTCATAGGATTGAACTGTGTGGCTGCAGGACCATGCTTTTTTATGGTGTTTTCTATTTCTGTTTCCAGGTAAAACTTTATTATTATTATTAATGTTGTTTGGTTTAAAATATCATTATGACCATAATCTGAAAGAAAAAAGGGAGAAAAAGTTGGAAGAAGTGGGAATCTAACCTTATAGCAAGACGTAGATGTTAAATACATTTTTTTCATTATTCTTCCCTTAACTCCTTTCTTTAGTTTCCTTTCTTACCCTCTTTTTTTCCTTTTTTTATTTCTTCCCTCTTTCCTTCCTTAATCAAAACATTATCAAAGCCCTCTTATATTCAGAGCTTTTAAAATTCTACCCTTCTGTTTTGAGAAACTTGTAAAAATAAGAACATTTTGTTTAGAAAAGTTCTTAATAAAATAGTAAACTAAACAAAGAGGTCTAGAAATATTTTTCTACATGTTCAGATTATGGTCATGATGGTATTTAAATTAAAACAGCATGCACAAATTCTATTCCAGTTCAAAGACATAGGAAATAAATATTTTATGTAAAAAATATTAAATTTTAAAAATGGATATTTACGGTCTATTACATAAAATTTGAATTTAATGGAAGAATTGAAAAACAAGGACTAAATCAAAGTAAAAGCTTTTTACCATTTTTCCTGGCAGTAAAATGTCTTTGTCATAAAGTAATCAGAGTCTTGAAATTCTTTCCATTTTCTGAGATCAAGCATTCCATTTAAGCACAGACTTCTTTCTCCTAAGGCTGTTAATTATTACCAAGAATAAAGAAGTTATCTACAAATCAGAGATGCACATTGGCACAGAGGACAAAATTTTACATCAATAAATTAGATATGAAGCAAGTAACAATGACTTAATATTTATTTATTTTTCAAACCAAATAGAATTGGTATTATAAAACAAAAGGTCAGTTTTTTATAACAACCAATACAGTACCAGACATTAAGAAGACTTTCATTTGATTTGATGTGTAGGTATTATTTCATTCTGTTGTACAGCAATTGCAAAATCTATTTATTTCTGGAGTTGCCCTGTACTTACCCTCCAATCACAATGCAGAGAACCCCAATGCTTGGTTAATCACTCATGACTCCCCAGAGGCCAACTTTCAGTGGTACTAAGTGCTGCTTGCTTGTAATGCCCCACTTTCTGTGATTTCTCTCCCTCCCACCGTCTTTTCCCACAAACATTTCTTGCTTACCTGATCCACATCAGGAGCTACATGCTGAGGATTCAAATGTAATAAGGCTGTAAGAAGACTGGGCTCTTTCCCCCACAGAGTTCAGTCAAATGGAGAGAGAGAGACTTACAAAGTGGTAAGTGGTTTCCTACAATGTCTTTCCAACTTTTTTGAACACTCTCCATAAAAAATAAAAATAAAAATAAAACATTGTTTCAATATTGTAGATACCTGCATCAGGATAAAAAATAATTCATAAAGCATTATTTACTATTGTTATGCATGATATGATATCCTCTATTTTATTTTTTCTATCTCTTTTCTTCAAGCTAACCAAAACTTAGGAAATTGTTTTAATGGCCCACAATGTTACAACTCAACATTAGAGAAATATGGCTCCAGAAGATGTATGAAGACAAACAATTCCAAAAGACAGAGATACAGTATATTGTATTTACCATGGCAACCCCAAATGTTTAGCAAACTCTGTAGCATAGATTAGCTATCCAACATCCACTAGTTGAATGGATGAATGGATGAATGGATGGTTGGAATAAATGTTTTAATCACTCCGAAACTCTTTACAGGTCATCAGGAAAAGTTTTACTACAGAGGGAAGACTTGGGTAAGATGTGAAAGATTAGCTGTATTTTTCAGAGAAAACTATTACCTAACTGCCTATAATGGTGGAGGTATGAGAAAGCATGGAATGTTTGAGATGTAACAAGTAAATCAGAATGACTACTATTTTCCAAGGTGACGAACTCATTCAGCCCTTTAGCTTTAAAAAGCTTTAATTTTTTTTTTTTTTTTTTTTTTTTTTTTGAGACGAAGTCTCTCTGTGTAGCCCAGGCTGGAGTGCAGCGGCGCAATCTCGGCTCACTGCAAGCGCCGCCTCCCAGGTTCACGCCATTCTCCTACCTCAGCCTCCGGAGCAGCTGGGACTACAGCCCGTCACCAAAGCCTGGCTAATTTTTTGTATTTTTTTAGTACAGACAGGGTTTCACCGTGCTAGCCAGGATGGTCTCAATCTTCTGAAATCATGATCCGCCCGCCTTGGCCTCCAAAAGTACTGGGATTACAGGCGTGAGCCACCGCGCCGGGCCTAAATTTTATCCATATCCTGATGATGCCAAATTTATTGATTTAGTCCTCACCTCGCCCTGAGCACCAAACATTTATTTTTAATTATCTTCTTAAACTCTCCACTTGGATATCCAATGGGCATGCCAAACTTAACATTTTCCAAGCAAAGACCCTTTATTTCCTACTTTTCCCAACTTATTTCCCTCCCACCTGATATTTCCCATCTTAGTTAATGGAATTGACATCTACACATTCAGTGAGCAAAAATTAAGTCTTCATTAATAGTCTAATTTCATAATCTATTCTTTTCATTGATCAATAAATCTGTTATCTTTACCTTCAAGATACATATGAATTTAACAAATTCTCATAAGCTTACCTATTACCATTTAGTCCAAATCATGACCATCTTTTGCCTGAATGACTGCACTTGTGCTTTAACCGACCTTTCTGTTTTCATTTTTGTAAGCAAACCCCCTTCAAACAAACACACAAACTATCTCCTACATAGTGGCGAGAGGGATCTTTTTCAAGGGTAAATTACATCTTATCTTCCTTGCTTGCTACTTTGCATTAGCTTCCCATTACATTTAGAAGAAATGAAAATACTTATTTAGTCTGATAAATTCCTACATATAGTGTAGAATGATGATTACAACCATAGATTCTAAAGTCAGACTGCCCGTGGTAGTGACAGATTTAATCATTTACCAGCTGTAAGTTTTACTATGTGATCTTAGGCAAGCCATTAGTTTTCTCTTTGCTCCATGTGCTCACTTGCAAAATAGTGGTTAATAATAGTTCCTTTGACACACAGATATTGTTAAGATAAAACCAGTAAATGCTTGTTTGAAATAGTGTTTGGCATATTGTATATTTATTATTATTACTGTTATTGTTCTTCTTGCTAATAGAAAAGTTATTGTTATACACTACCTGGCCCTATTGACTTTTCAATTTTACCTTAAACCAACTCTCTCCACGCACCCCTGACTATGTTCCAGCCACTCTGAAGGTTTTATTGTTTTGAAGGTCTTTCCACATGTTGTTCTCTTTTCTTAGACTTTGCTTATCCCAGCTATTTGTATCGATGAATTACTTCAAGTCTGAGTTCAGATATCACTTCCTCTGGAAGATCCAGCCTACCTAACATAGGGCTTATTCCATCTCTACACTTTAGTCACTGTACTTCGTATCATCTTTCATTTTCTTCAGAACATATTACCATATTTATTATTTTATTGAATTGGTGTTTGTTGTGTTTTGTTTTGCTGCTGCTGTTTATTATTCATCTCTGACCATGGAAATGTAAGTTCCTCTAACAAAAAATGCAACAGGTGTTCAGAAAGAATCTGAAAAATGACTATCTATGTGTATATATATGTATGTATAATTTATATCTTATATATGTATATATACACATTTGCATATATACATATTATATATATGTTCCACATTCATTTTAAGTAATGAGAGAGAGTGGTAAGAACCATGGCTACACAGGTTTATGGCTTTTGAAAATAGATTTTGTTGCATTCTTTGTCTTGGGATACCACTGAAGGAATTAAAGTACTAATGAACCTTAATAACCTAATCAGACTTTCCAGTTTCTTTTTTCCTGCTTGTTCATTTATTGGAGTTTGGCTAGGTTTCATCAGGGTGAGAGAGGTGAAGAGGAGAATTAAATAAACCAAGAGAGGCTGGATTACACTATTTAAGAAAAATATAGAAGGAGGTGATGAGGCAGACAGGAGCAAGTGGGAGCCTCCTTTCCTTGAAAAATACAAAGACATGAGATCATGAAGCTGGGCCTTAGAAGATGTGTCATTTTTGATCTTTCTTTTTTTATTATTATTGTACTTTACGTTCTAGGGTACATGTGCACAACATGCAGGTTTGTTACATATGTATACATGTGTCATGTTGGTTTGCTGTACCCGTTAACTCATCATGTACATTAGGCATATCTCCTAATGCTATCCCTCCCCCATCCCCTCACCCCATGACAGGCCCCGGTGTGTGATGTTTCCTACCCTGTGTCCAAGCGTTCTCATTGTTCAATTCTCACCTATGAGTGAGAACATGTCGTGTTTGGTTTTCTGTCCTTGCGATAGTTTGCTCAGAATGATGGTTTCTAGCTTCATCCATGTCCCTACAAAGGACATGAACTCATCATTTTTTATGGCTGCATAGTATTCCGTGGTGTATATGTGCCACATTTTCTTAATCCAGTCTATCATTGATGGACATTTGGCTTGGTTCCAAGTCTTTGCTATTGTGAATAGTGCCACAATAAACATACGTGTGTATGTGTCTTTACAGCAGCATGATTTATAATCCTTTGGGTATATACCCAGTAATGAGATGGCTGGGTCAAATGGTATTTGTAGGTCTAGATCCTTGAGGAATCACCACACCTTCTTCCACAATGGTTGAACTAGTTTACAGTCCCACCAACAGTGTAAAAGTGTTCCTATTTCTCCACATCCTCTCCAGCACCTGTGTTTCCTGACTTTTTAATGATTGCCATTCTAACTGGTGTGAGATGGTATCTCATTGTGGTTTTGATTTGCATTTCTCTGATGGCCAGTGATGATGAGCATTTTTTCATGTGTCTGTTGGCTGCATAAATGTCTTCTTTTGAGAAGTGTCTGTTCATATCGTTTGCCCACTTTTTGATGAGTTGTTTGATTTTTTCTTGTAAATTTGTTAAAGTTCTTTGTAGATTCTGGATATTAGCCCTTTGTCAGATGGGTAGATTGTAAAAATTTTCTCCCATTCTGTAGGTTGCCTGTTCACTCTGATGGTAGTTTCTTTTGCTGTGCAGAAGCTCTTTAGTTTAATTAGATCTCATTTGCCTATTTTGACTTTTGTTGCCATTGCTTTTGGTGTTTTAGTCATGAAGTCCTTGCCCATGCCTATGGCCTGAATGGTATTGCCTAGGTTTTCTTCTAGGGTTTTTTTATGGTTTCAGTTCTAACATTTAAGTCTTTAATCCATCTTGAATTAATTTTTGTATAAGGTGTAAGGAAGTGATCCAGTTTCAGCTTTCTACATATGGCTAGCCAGTTTTCCCAGCACCATTTATTAAATAGGGAATCCTTTCTCCACTTCTTGTTTTTGTCAGGTTTGTCAAAGATCAGATGGTTATAGATGTGTGGTATTACTTCTGAGGGCTCTGTTCTATGCCATTGGTCTATATCTCTGTTTTGGTACCAGTACCATGCTGTTTTGGTTACTGTAGCCTTGCAGTATAGTTTGAAGTCAGGTAGCATGATGCCTCCAGCTTTGTTCTTTTGGCTTAGGATTGTCTTGGCTGTGCGGGCTCTTTTTTGGTTCCATATGAACTTTAGTTTTTTCCCAATTCTGTGAAGAAAGTCATTGGTAGCTTCATGAGGATGGCATTGAATCTGTAAATTAC
The DNA here is from genome assembly GCF_000001405.40 of Homo sapiens. Classification (NCBI taxonomy): domain Eukaryota; kingdom Metazoa; phylum Chordata; class Mammalia; order Primates; family Hominidae; genus Homo; species Homo sapiens. Next base: position 157,923,229 of record NC_000004.12, read on the forward strand.
CTTGGGCAGTATGGCCATTTTCACAATATTGATTCTTCCTATCCTTGAGCATGGAATGTTCTTCCATTTGTTTGTGTCCTCTTTTATTTCGTTGAGCAGTGGTTGGTAGTTCTCCTTGAAGAGGTCCTTCACATGCCTTGTAAGTTGGATTCATAGGTATTTTATTCTCTTTAAAGCAATTGTGAAGGGGAATTTACTCATGTTTTGGCTCTCTGTTTGTCTGTTATTGCTGTACAGGAATGCTTGTGATTTTTGCACATTGATTTTGTATCCTGAGACTGCTGAAGTTGCTGACCAGCTTAAGGAGATTTTGGGCTGAGATGATGGGGTTTTCTAAATATACAATCATGTCATCTGCAAACAGGGACAATTCGACTTCCTCTTTTCCTAACTGAATACCCTTTATTTCTTTCTCCTGCTTAATTGCCCTGGCCAGAACTTCCAACATTATGTTGAATAGAAGTGGTGAGAGACAGCATCCCTGTCTTGTGCAAGTTTTCAAAGGGAATGGTTCCGGTTTTTGCCTATTCAGTATATTGTTGGCTGTGGGTTTGTCATAAATAGCTCTTATTATTTTGAGATATGTCCCATTAATACCTAGTTTATTGAGAGTTTTTAGCATAAAGGGCTGTTGAATTTTGTCAAAGGCCTTTTCTACATCTATTGAGATAATAATGTGGTTTTGTCTTTGGTTCTGTTTATATGATGGATTACGTTTATTGATTTGCATATATTGATCCAGCCTTGCATCCCAGGGATGAAGTCAACTTGATCGTTGTGGATAAGCTTTTTGATGTGCTGCTGGATTCTGTTTGCCAGTATTTTATTGAGGATGTTTGCCTCGATGTTCATCAGGGATATTGGTCTAAAATTCTCTTTTTTGGTTGTGTCTCTGCCAGGCTTTGGTATCAGGATGATGCTGGCCTCATAAAATGAGTGAGGGAAGATTCCCTCTTTTTCTATTGATCAGAATAGTTTCAGAAGGAATGGTACCAGCTCCTCTTTGTATCTCTGGTAGAATTCGGCTGCGAATGCGTCTGGTCCTGGACTTTTTTGGTTGGTAGGCTATTAATTATTGACTCAATTTCAGAGCCTGTTATTGGTCTATTCAGAGATTCAACTTCTTCCTGGTTTAGTCTTGGGAGGGTGTATGTGTCCAGGAATTTATCCATTTCTTCTAGATTTTCTAGTTTATTTGCATAGAGGTGTTTATAGTATTCTCTGATGGTAGTTTGTATTTCTGTGGGATCAGTGGTGATATCCCCTTTATCATTTTTTAATGCATCTATTTGATTCTTCTCTCTTTTCTTCTTTATTAGTCTTGGTAGCGGTCTATCAATTTTGTTGATCTTTTCAAAAAACCAGCTCCTGGATTCATTGATTTTTTGAAGGGTTTTTTGTGTCTATATCTCTTTCAGTTCTGCTCTGATCTTAGTTATTTCTTGCTTTCTGCTAGCTTTTGAATGTGTTTGCTCTTGCTTGTCTAGTTCTTTTAATTGTGATGTTAGGGTGTCAATTTTAGATCTTTCCTGCTTTCTCTTGTGGGCATTTAGTGCTATAAATTTCCCTCTACACACTGCTTTAAATGTGTCCCAGAGACTCTGGTATGTTGTGTCTTTTTTCTCATTGATTTCAAAGAACATCTTTATTTCTGCCTTCATTTTGTTATGTACCCAGTAGTCATTCAGGAGGAGGTTGTTCAGTTTCCATGTACTTGAGCAGTTTTGAGTGAGTTTCTTAATCCTGAGTTCTAGTTTGATTACACTGTGGTCTGAGAGACAGTTTGTTATAATTTCTGTTCTTTTACATTTGCTGAAGAATGCTTCACTTCCAACTATGTGGTCAATTTTGGAATAAGTGTGATGTGATGCTGAGAAAAATGTATGTTCTGTTGATTTGGGGTGGAGAGTTCTGTAGATGTCTATTAGGTCTGCTTGATGCAGAGCTGAGTTCAATTCCTGGATATCCTTGTTAACTTTCTGTCTCATTGATCTGTCTAATGTTGACAGTGGGGTGTTAAAGTCTCCCATTATTATTGTGTGGGAGTCTAAGTCTCTGTAGGTCTCTAAGGACTTGCTTTATGAATCTGGGTGCTCCTGTATTGGGTGCATATATATTTAGGATAGTTAGCTCTTCTTGTTGAATTGATCCCTTTACCATTATGTAATGGCCTTCTTTGTCTCTTTTGATCTTTGTTGGTTTAAAGTCTGTTTTATCAGAGACTAGGACTGCAACCTCTGCTTTTTTTGTTGTTTTCTATTTGCTTGGTAGATCTTCCTCCATCCCTTTATTTTGAGCCTATGTGTGTCTCTGCACATGAGATGGGTCTCCTGAATACAGCACACTGATGGGTCTTGACTCTTGATCCAATCTGCCAGTCTGTGTCTTTTAATTGGAGCATTTAGCCCATTTACATTTAAGGTTAATACTGTTATGTGTGAATTTGACCCTGTCATTATGATGTTAGCTGGTTATTTTGCTCGTTAGTTGATGCAGTTTCTTCCTAGCATTGATGGTCTTTACAATTTGGCATGTTTTTGCAGTGGCTGGTACCGGTTGTTCCTTTCCATGTTTACTGCTTCCTTCAGGAGCTCTTGTAAGGCAGGCCTGGTGGTGACAAAATCTCTCAGCATTTGCTTGTCTGTAAAGTATTTTATTTCTCCTTCAATTATGAAGCTTAGTTTGTCTGGATATGAAATTTTGGGTTGAAAAATTCGTTTCTTTAAGAATATTGAATATTTGCCCCCACTCTCTCCTGGTTTGTAGAGTTTCTGCCAAGAGATCCGCTGTTAATCTGATGGGCTTCCCTTTGTGGGTAACCCGACTTTCTCTCTGGCTGCCCTTAATATTTTTTCCTTCATTTCAACCTTGGTGAATCTGACAATTATGTGTCTTGGAGTTGCTGTTCTCGAGGAGTATCTTTGTGGTGTTCTCTGTGTTTCCTGAATTTGAATGTTGGCCTTCCTTGCTAGGTTGGGGAAGTTCTCCTGGATAATATCCTGAAGAGTGTTTTCCAGCTTGGTTCCTTTCTCCCCAACACTTTCAGGTACACCAATCAGACATAGATTTGGTCTTTTCACATAGTCCCATATTTCTTGGAGGCTTTGCTCGTTTCTTTTTACTCTTTTTTCTCTAAACTTCTCTTCTCACTTCATTTCATTCATTTGATCTTCAATCACTGATACCCTTTCTTCCACTTGATCGAATTGGTTGCTGAAGCTTGTGCATGCGTCACGTAGTTCTCGTGCCATGGTTTTCAGCTCCATCAGGTCATTTAAGGTCTTCTCTATGCTTTTATTCTAGTTAGCTATTCGTCCAACCTTTTTTCAAGGTTTTTAGCTTCTTTGTGATGGGTTCAAACATCCTCCTTTAGCTCGGAGAAGGTTGTTATTACCAATCATCTGAAGCCTTCTTCTCTCAACTTGTCAAAGTCATTCTCCATCCAGCTTTGTTCCATTGCTGGCGAGGAGTTGTGTTCCTCTGGAGGAGAAGAGGCGCTCTGATTTTTGGATTTTCAGCTTTTCTGCTCTGGTTTCTCCCCATCTTTGTGGTTTTATCTACCTTTGATCTTTGATGATGGAGACATACAGATGGGGTTTTAGTGTGGATGTCCTTTCTGTTTGATAGTTTTCCTTCTGACAGTCAGGACCCTCAGCTGCAGGTCTGTTGGAGTTTGCCGGAGGTCCACTCCATCCCCTGTTTTGCCTGGGTATCACCAGGGGAGGCTGCAGAACAGCAAATATTGCAGAATGGCAAATGTTGCTGCCTGATCCTTCCTCTGGAAGCTTCGTTTCAGAGGGTCATCTGGCTGTATGAGGTGCCGGTAGGCCCCTACTGGGAGGTTTCTCCCAGTTAGGCTACTCAGGGGTCAGGGACCCACTTAAGGAGGCAGTCTGTCCGTTCTCAGATCTCAAACTCTGTGCTGGGAGAACCGCTACTCTCTTCAAAGCTGTCAGACAGGGATGTTTAAGTCTGCAGAAGTTTGTGCTGCCTTTTGTTCAGGTGTGCCCTGCCCCCAGAGATGGAGTCTACAGAGGCAGGCAGGGCTCTTTGAGCTGCGGTGGGCTCCACCCAGTTCGAGCTTCCTGGCCACTTTGTTTACCTACTCAAGCCTCAGCAATGGTAGGCGCCCCTCCCCCAGCCTGGCTGCCACCTTGCAGTTCGATCTCAGACTGCTGTGCTAGCAGTGAGTGAGGCTCTGTGGGTGTGGGACCCTCCGAGCCATGCGCAGGATATAATTTCCTGGTGTGCTGTTTGCTAAGACAATTGGAAAAGTGCAGTATTAGGGTGGGAGTGTACCAATTTTCCAGGTACCATCTGTCACAGCTTCCCTTGACTAGGAAAGGGAATTCCCCCACCACTTGCACTTCTTGGGTGAGGTGATGCCCCGCCCTGCTCTGTGGGCTGCACCCACTGTCCAACAAGCCCCAGTGAGATGAACCCAGTATCTCAGTTGGAAATACAGAAATCATCTGTCTTCTGCATCACTCATGCTAGGAGCTATAGATTGGAGCTGTTCCTATTTGGCCATCTTGGAACTTCCTCCAGACTTTCAAGTTTTAAAGACAATTCTGGAAGCAGAGTTAAGGATGGTTTGGAATGGATAAGATTGAAGAATGTTTTATCAGTTATAAGTTTTTTGAAAAAAAATTTGAGAAAAGTGTCTAAACTACAGAAATGGTAGTAAAGATAAAATCAAGAACAAGTATAAGAGATACTTAAGTGTAATTGCTGAATTCTCATCCTCAATTGCCAATAAGTACAAATGTGTGACATTTATGATAATATTTCAAATCTGAATGCTTCATAACCTCTGTGCTGACTCATTAAATACTATTCCCAAATATACCTTACTCAAACCCAGAGGTTCAATAAGAGTGCATATGGCAATTAAACATGTAAATTGACTGCAACATGGTAATTTTCCTTTTAAGAATCAAAGGTGAGGGCATATCAATTAAACCAAAGCTTCTATCTTTTACTGTCATTTTTTATCAGCATCATTGAACACTATTGTTCTACTCAGTCTACACTCTGCCTTCTGTAAGAAGTGAAAAGGTCAATCAAGCAAGGAATATGTTGAGCACATTTCACATTATAAATGTGACCATGATTCTTTGACACCCTCTGGCCTTGCCTCTCAGTATAGCACACATTGCACAAATTCTAACTTATTTATCATGATTTATTTTACAGATCCTCTTATTTATCTCTTCAATTCAACTTTCACTGTCCCCCTCCCCATCATCTATCAAACAACTCTGAAATTCATAGTGGACCATGTTCAAATTATTTTTCATTAGACTTTTCGTCCCAAACACGTTATGGAATGGGCTCAGCTTGTGTTTTACCATTCGTGTCAATGAATAAGATACAAAATGTAAAAAGCTGGTAGGTCCAGAATACCTTGAGAATCTTTAAGGAAGACAATGTTGCCTAACTCGTTATGTTGGTCTCTCAGAGTCTCAGTGTAGGCGCTGTCAAAGTACCACTAAACTGGATTTTAAAAGTTGGTGCTGGATTCCCATATTTTTGGCTTAAGTGATTGGATGGAGGGTAGAATCATTCACAAAGAGGTAATAAAGGCACAGATTTTTAGAAGATTTTTTAAACATTTACTCTCCAGAAGACTTAAGATTTCTCTGTAGAAATACATATCTCATCTTTTCAAAATAGATTTACAAACATGTGATTTGTCATTTACAAAATCCCTATGATGTGGGCTTCAAAGCTGTTACATATCATTCCTACTTTGTAGGGGAAAATCAACGCAAACTAAATGTCAACATTTTTAAGTGTACACTTACAGTTAGAAACCAGGAGTTTTGCCTTGTACTGTAGGTTTTTTTTTTTTTTTTTTTTTTTTTGCTTCTACTATATCATGCTGGCCACATTTAATCTCACATACCTAACTTTCACATTTTCCTCATTTACTTTCTAAACAATAGAACTTCTGATTGTCCTCTATCATGACTTTTTTTCAACAAGAAGGCAGTGTATGCAGGGTTAAGAGAATAATAGGTAAAGTGCAAGAAGAACAGAAGTGAAAGATACTCAGCCCCACAGACTGCATGAACTCTTCACGCTCTGTCTCTTGGTCTCATGAAATACTGTAAAATATCCATTATTTTTAATCCTATAAGTTCTACTTTTTTGTCTCTATACTCATAATGTCTTTACTACAATTTCCTTATAATAATGGATAATGCAGTGAGATCTTAACAGTTCTATATTTATTTTTGGCACTATTGATATTCAGACAAAATCCCAATCATAGGTCATAAGAGGAAATAAAAAAGGTTCATGAACTTTATTTCATGAGACATATATTTAGATGCAGACATTTTCTGTGTAATCTCTTAATATAGATTTGGAAAGAATACCTGTAAGGCCACCATATGTCTCTCGCCTTCCTCTGGCAGTCACTGCTTCAGGGATGATCTCACTCTTAGCAGTTCCTGGAAACCATCAAATGCAAAACCTGGCAGAGAAAGAGACAGTGCACTCATACCTTATAGAACAGGGGAAACAGCTTAGAAGAGTTGAATACTAGTTCATCCCAATGCCTAGACTAGTAAAATTAAGTTATGGTTAGCAAAAACTGTCTTTTTTTGAAAGCTATTGCCAAAACATCTGGAAACTTAATAGAAGTTCCAGAAGGCTTTGACCAAATGTAGCCCTTTGTAGCTACAAAAAGTCTATCATGAGCCTTTATAAATGATATATTAGGCTGACGCTTAGCAGTGAAAAGTTAGGATTGGTTGTGAAGGAGCCTTGCTCCTTTGTGGAGGTGCACATTTCACTCCGCAATATCTGACTGCCGCTTCCTCCCTGAAGCTTCAGATAATAAAGAGTCCATTGTATACCTTGTGACCAAATTTAAAACAAAATAAAACAAAACAAACATGCATATGTTCAAGCTCATCAAAAAGCATAAACACGTGCAATTTTTCTATATCAATTATGCCTCAATAATATTAAAAAACAAAAATATTCTCACATTTGCATTTCATATTTTACCACCTAGAGCCTCATGGGTATCTTTAAATTTTGTCCACTGAATATTATGTATATATCTTCTTTTTAGAATGGTTAATTATCAATTCTTAACTTGTTTAATAAATAAATAAATACTAAAATATAATGCTAAAACCATTGTAAATCTTTGTAGAATGTAATGCTGGAGTTCAAAAGTTGAATCAATCAACTGACCTTGAAGTCATGTTTCTGATTCTCAAAACATGCATTTGATTATTATGAACCTCAAATTTCACAAGTTTGTATGTGAAAGAAATCAGATTTGCTTCTTCTCTAATAGAACACATTCTTGACTCAGTTCAGAGGTTGTAAGACTGGTTTTGCCGCCAGAAAAATAAGGGAAGAATTAATAATAAATATATTTTCACAAGAATTTATAATGTAAATTTTCTCAGTTGATAAAGTGTATTAAGTACTTATTGTGTGCTAGGCACGAAAGTTTATGTTATCCTCATTCTATTGACAAGGAACTGGAGGCTTAGTATGAAAATTTCCCCAGGTTATTCTAAGAGTAAGTGGCAACACACAACCTACCACAGCTGTCTTTGGGAGTTGGAAGTAAGTCTTATGGAACATACCCACATAATCCTATACAGGTAATCCTGTACATCTTGTCATCTTTGCTTGATTCTTAAATTAGTATTTTTTACTTTAGCCATTCAAGTGGGTGCGAAATATTGTCACCATGTGGTTTTAACTTGCATTTTGTGTTACGGTGGGTATAAATTTTACTTTTATGTAGGCTGAAACCCCAAAATGCATGGCTGCTATTTTTGCTTTTGATAGTCATCTATCTGTAGGAGCAGATAACAATAATAAGAAATGCCTTTTCTATCCAACTTTATTTTAACTATTTTTGGAGCTCTATATTTCTTTTTTAGAAATCCAAATTTCTATCTGGTCTCTCATTCTGAGACAGAAATTTGCTTTAACATTTTTTGCAGTAAAGATGCAAATTCTCTTTGCTATTATTCTTCTGCAAAATTTCTGTGAAAAAAAAAGTCCATTTCTCCTTAATTGTTGTAAGGTATTTTAGCTGTGTATATCTAAATGGACAGAGTTTTTCCCCCAGTATTTTTAAAAGTCACCTCCCTTGTTTTCTGTCTTGCATAGTTTCTGATGGGAAATTTACCCTTATGCTTATATTTACCCTTCTATAGTAATCTGTCGCTGTATTCTGGCTGCCTTAAAGATTTTTCTTTATTATTTGCATTCAACAAATTGATTTTGATATACCTTGGTATTTTTTAATTTGTCTTTATCGTGCTTGAAATTAGTGAGTTTTTGCATCCCTTTGATTTACAATTTTCATCAAATTTGGAAATTATTATTTCCTCAAATAATTTTACCTATCTCTTCTTTCTGGAATTCAAATTAAATTTATATTAGATTACTATTTTTCCAGAAAGTTGGAGTCTCTGTTAATTTATTTTCAGTCTTTATCTTCCCCTATCTTCTTCATTTTGGATAGTTTCTATTGCTATGTCTTCAAGTTGAATAATCTTTCTTTCCTACAGTATTTCATTAGCTGTTAATTTTGTCCAGTGAAATTTTTATTTTATGTACTGATTTTTAACTCAGTGTTCCTTTTTTGTATTTTTCATTCCTCTTCTCACTGATTTTTCCTATAAGTCTTTAAGCATATTGAGTATATTTATAAAATCTGTTTTAATGTTCTTATTTACTAATTACATTATCTACATCACTTCTCTATTTCTTTTTTTTTTTTTTTTTGAGGCAGTCTCCTGTGTTGCCCAGGCTGGAGTGCAGTGGCATGATCTCAGCTCACTGCAACCTCTATCTCTCGGGTTCAAGCGATTCTCCTGCCTCAGCCTCCCAAGTAGCTGGGACTACAGGTGCCAGCCACCACGCCCAACTAATTTGTTTTTATTTTTATTTTTAGTAAAGATAGGGTTTCACTATGTTGGCCAGGCTGGCCTTGAACTCCTGACCTCGTGATCTGCCTGCTTCAGCCTCCCAAAGTGCTGGGATTACAGGCATGAGCCACCGTGCCTGGCCTCTCTATTTCTTTAGAGAGATTGAGTGTTTTCTTGTTATTATGGATCACATTTTCCTCCATTTTGCAAGTCTAGTAATTTCAGGATTGTATGCTCGACTTTGCAAACTTTATGCTACTGAGTGCTTGCTTTTATTTATTATTTTAAAGAGTTTTGGACTCTGCACTGGTGGATTGTAAAGTGGCTTACAGATTTTTTATCTTTTGGAAGCTTATTTCTTTACTCTCATAAAGGGAATATTTATTCAATCTATGTTTAATGTAAGATCTCTTATCATTGGGTTTATATATAACATATTGATATCTATTTTCTCTGAGAATCTTTTTTTTTTAAAATATTTTAAAGGGCAGGTCTTTGGTGTTCTTTTTGGCCTGTTTGGTCCCAATAAGCCTGGCCATTCAGAAGGTCTACACGGAAAGCCCCACGTATCCAAAAGTGTCTGTCAACTCTGTCTGCTGGAAACGGCCATGATTCTTGCTCCTGTGAGAGCACTAGGCAGTTTTCTCTTTAGAGGTCAATAGTACTTGGTCATTTCCTAGAACTACTTTTTGACTCTACACATTTGCAGATTTCTGGAAACTTTTCTGTTGGCAGCTTTGTCCTCTTGGTACTTTTCCTCACCAATTCTACCTGTCTCAACCTCCCTAAACTCTGATCCGTGTCTCATAAAACTCATGATCACAGTAGGCTCTGTTTGAGTCCTTTTTCTCTGTGTCACAGTATAAAAATTGCCTCCAGTAGCTAGAGCAGCCCCAACACCTGACTCATTTGTTGCCCTTCTCTTAGGGATCATAGGCCTGCACTGCCTGTTGTTCCTTGTCTTAAAACAATGATTCCACATTTTGTGAAATCATTGAGTTTTCTATTGTGAAATCATAGAGTTTTGTGAAATCATAGAGTTTCACATGAGTTTTCTATATGAAATCATAGAGTTTTCTATTTCTTGACAATGGGAGGGTGATTCTGGTCTTCACAGGTTTGTCATGAATGAAGCACATCCTGCATCATTTCTGTCAGAGGTGGTGGAGGGCACACAGACTCTGGAGAGAAATGGCATACATTACCATTTCAGATCCACAGAACAGTGTAATCACCCAAGGGTTCATATCGCCTGCTGCCCTGAAAAGCCACCGTACTGAGAACAGGTTTTTGCAATGGAGAAAGGGTTTAATAAATGCAGAGCCAACTAAGCAGAAGGACAGGAGTTTATTATTACTCACTCAAATCAGCCCCTCTGAAAATTCAGAGGCTAGGGATTTTTTGAGGACAGTTTGGCAGGCAGAAGGCTACAGAATGGGGAGTGCTGATTGGTTGGGTTGGGGGTGAAATCATAGGGAGTTGAAGCTGTCCTCTTTCAGAGTCAGCTCCTAGATGGGGACCACAAGACCAAATGAGCCAGTTCACTGGGCTGGGTGGCACCAGCAGATCCAACACAACACAGGGTCTGAAAAATACCTCGAACACCAGTCTTAGGATTTACAATAATGATGTATCCATAGGAGCAACTGGGGAGGTGAGGAATCTTGTGGCATCTGGCTACGTGGCTCCTGAGCCATAATTTCTAATCTGTGACTAATTTGTTCATTTTACAAAGGTGGTCTGGTCCCCCAAAAAGGAGGAGGTTTGTTTTGAGAAGAGGCCGTTATCATCTTTGTTTCAAAGTTAAACATAAACTAAATTCCTCCCAAAATTAGCTTTGCCTATGCCCAGGAATGAACAAAGGCAGCTTGAGAGTTAGAAGCAAGAGAATCAGTTAGGTCACATTTCTTTTACTGTCACAATTTTCCTATGTCAGGTTTTTCTCACTTTCACAATATTTGCAAAAGCAATTTCAGTATTAATTCTGGGAGCTTAAGCAACATATTAACCTTCCTGTGCCTCAGTTTCTTCATCTGTAAAGTAAAGGTGGTAATAACAATAACTACTTCACGGATTTGTTGTTATGATTAGAGGATTTATTATGCACCAAGCTCTTAGAAGAGTGGGTAGCATAGTAAGAACTATGTAATTGCTGTTTTTTACACAGGCTACTTCCTCCATTCCTTGACGTAGTTTCCCAGAATGATTGCTTCTCTCTTATTAAAGAGAAAGTAATCTGCAAGAATTGACAATAAACTTCTTATTGCAATTATGCCTGGGGGAGGGCTACAAGAAAATGTGGTAGTGATCAAAGAGAATTTAACTTTCATTTGTAATGTTTTAATTTTTTTCTGAAGAGAATATATGTTTCTGTTAATTTTGTAAGTAAATATGCTTTTAAAAAGAAGAAAAAAGCAACAATATTTCTTCCATATTAGAGACTGCTAGTGATTACCAAACTCCAGGCTCTTATCTTTTTCCTGTTCACACATCGAGATTCTATTTCCCAGCCTCTTCTGTTATTAGATGTAGCCACAGGACTAAGATCTAGGCAACAAAGTTTTACTGAGTGTTCCATGCTCTACTTCTGAAACTATACTTTTTTAGGGCTAAAGAAACCTAAGGCAATGTTTGGTGACTTAAGATCAGAGGGAAACTATCCCTAAAGTGATAGTCCTATTAGATAGATCCTGTGAATTGAGAGTTCATTTGGAAAAAATATTTGTATTTTAAAACGTTAGCCCCAACTTTCAAGTTGCGTTACTGCTTCAATCATATTGCTAAAACTCTGAAAACAAGAACACCATTTGTTCTAATATTATTTATCCTCTTGGTATTTGGCAAAATGTCAAGGACATCAGAAGCATACATATAACCTTCATGTTGTTTTTTTATTTCCTCACATACCTATTTCACTGAGAATGAAATATTTTGAGGATTATTCTCTTGTCATTTTTCTTTATGTTTAAACCTTAGCTCCTTAAATTCAGAGTGTTCACAAAGGATAGCCTGCTACAAATCGCCAACTGCTTCCAAATCTCAATTGCATATATTTTTCATTTTATTGTTTAACACAAGTTTAATTATCATAACCTAAACATGTCTTTTACTAGAACAATGAAATATCTCTGATGGCCAAATCATTTTCTCTACCATTAAAGATGGATGGGGAGACTACCATATAAATAAGGGAGATTTAAAACACCATTAAAATCAAAATTGCTTCTTATTTCTCACATGCAAATAGTGCATTTCTCTCTTGGTTTCATGCAATCAATTGATTAAAAACAACAAGATAAGGAATTGAGAAACTAAAGGCAAAATATTATAAAATTTATAAGCATGTAAAATATAATTAAGTAATTAATTTAAACATTTAAGGCAGAAGAATCATGGGGAGATTAAAGGAGAAAAAAGAGGTGGTGTGTTATTTTTGTTTCAGACTTTTAGAATGAACGTATTTGTTCCAAATATAATTTTCAATTTTGCCAGCTTAAAAAAATTTCATCAAGGCCAGAAAAATAACATGTTAAGGAGGCATACTCTTTGTGAGACTGGGAGACGATATTCATTTAAAAAGAAATATGTGGGCTAATAAAAAAATCCAAACCTCATTTATACAAAAATTGCCAAAAACTAACCCATTATGTTGCTTATGTGATATTATGTAAAATGGAAAAATCTTAAGGACCATGGTGTATTATTTGCCCGTGAAAACCCACAACAATAGAAATTGGCAAATATTGAAAACTTGCATCTTTAGAGACTCTTTGACATCTGTTACTTTAAAAGCTTCTCTTTATAAAATGACTCTGGAGCTTAATTCTGTGTTTAAATCCATATACCCAGCCACTCTCAAAATAAAATTAAAGTTATTTATATACAAAATCTATTAGGAAATGTGTCAATGTTTTCCTGTCATTTATTTGCTAGTTTCACTGTGAATCTTAATGCTTCTGCTGCATAAATGCTATGAGGAAAACAGACACACATTGACAAATGAAAATAATTATTTCATAATTATTTCAATAATGTATTATGAATTTAATGTTATTATAGAAAGTCATTTCATCTACCTGGAAGCTATTCTTCTTTTTTTTTTTTTGGAGTCAGATAAACCTGCATTTATTTTTTTATTTTTTTTTAGAATTGGTTCATGAGTTTAATTTTTTTTATTATACTTTAAGTTCTAGGGTACATGTGCACAACATGCAGGTTTGTTACATATGTATACATGTGCCATGTTGTTGTGCTGCACCCATTAACTCATCATTTACATTAGGCATCCTCCTAATGCTGTCCCTCCCCCATCCCCCCACCCCACAATAGGCCCCGGTATGTGATGTTCCCCTTCCTGTGTCCAAGTGTTCTCATTGTTCAGTTCCCACCTATAAGTGAGAACATGCGGTGTTTGGTTTTTTGTCCCTGCCATAGTTTGCTGAGAATGATGGTTTCCAGTTTCATCCATGACCCTACAAAGGACATGAACTCATCATTTTTTATGGCTGCATAGTATTTCATGGTGTATATATGCCACATTTTCTTAATCCAGTCTATCATTGTTGGACATTCGGGTTGGTTTCAAGTCTTTGCTATTGTGAATAATGCCGCAGTAAACATACGTGTGCATGTGTCTTTATAGCAGCATGATTTATAATCCTTTGGGTATATACCCAGTAATGGGATGGCTGGGTCAAATGGTATTTCTAGTTCTAGATCCCTGAGGAATCACCAAGCTGACTTCCACAATGGTTGAACTAGTCTACAGTCCCACCAACAGTGTAAAAGTGTTCCTATTTCTCCACATCCTCTCCAGCACCTGTTGTTTCCTGACTTTTTAATGATCGCCATTCTAACTGGTGTGAGATGGTATATCATTGTGGTTTTGATTTGCATTTCTCTGATGGCCAGTGACGATGAGCATTTTTTCATGTGTCTGTTGGCTGCATAAATGTCTTCTTTTGAGAAGTGTCTGTTCATATCCTTTGCCCACTTTTTGATGGGGTTGATTCTTATTGCTGGTGTTTCGTTTTTATCTGCAAACTGGATAGTCATAATTTAAAGGACCTCTACAAAAGATAATTTCGTTGACTACAGTTAATTTTGACTGTGTTTCAGTCAGCTAACTACATATCAATGTGCATCCTTTCCCTTAATGGTATAGAGATTTTACTTGGAAATTAGTTATCAAGCCAGGAACTACATTCCCCAACATCACTTGCCTCTGTGAGTTTTCACATGAGACTTGCTGTTGCCAGTAGAATGTGAGTGAAGGTGAGAGGTACTGTTTCCTTTCCAAAGAGTTCTTTCCAAAGTGATCTTTCCAAAGCATTTCTTTCCAAAGTATTCTTTCTTTGTGCTCTTTTTCTGCTCAAGGCAAATGACCTCAAAGGTGTGGGGGAAAGTGAATCCGTAAGATGAGCAGAGCCTGTCTCTCTAAATCACTAAATGGAAGAGCATCACCTGCTAACCAGGAACACCTACTTAGGACTATTAAGTGAGCAATAAATAAATTCCTTTTTTGTTCAGGCCATTGAGCACCACTGGATATTCTTTTTGCAGCTCAAAGTATTTGTTATAGAAGCTAAACAATATAGTCTTACTATAATAATTGAAAACATTGAAGCCCAATGTCAATTTTCTATCTGGTAAGAGAAAGCACCTGAAGGAAGACCTAAAATGACATGAGAGATCAACCTGACTCTAACATTTGTCACCAGTAAATTGCTAGAGTGGATCTGACTACTCTGTCTACCTGGTTAAACATCTCTCCCTGCATCCTCACTACTCCAAACATGCCGTCCACAAACCATTTCTGTTGAAGATGATCCCCTAATAATAGAATTATTTCACTGGTGAAGAATATAAGCAAGGTAAGTCTACCTGTTTGAACTTTTAAGGATACAGAGCACATAAAATAACAGTATAGAGTGAGAGAAAGCAATCCTTGCTAACTAGAATCCTACTAAAAAATATAGTGTCATAGGCCAAAACAGCTATTATTAAATCATGTATAAAGACACTCAGAGGTTGATGTCAAAAACAACATAGCTGCTCAAGGAAGTCATCAAAGGCCAAAGCACCTTTTTTCCACCTACACTGCCATCTTTGTTTGTGATTGTCATATGATTGTTTCACATACAGATATCAAGGCATTCCAAAGAAAGGAATGAAAAAAAGGTAAATGACAAAAGACATGCCCATACTGACTGTATGCCTTTATTTTGATGAAAGCAATAACTTTTCTGGAAATGTATGTGGTAGACCTTTGCTTATATTATGTTAGCGAGGACTGGTTGCATAGCTACTCTTAGCTGCAAGGGAGACTAAAGAGTTGACGGTAGGCACATTCTCCAGAATGTCTGCCCAGATAATAATTTCACATTTTTGTGTATATCACTTCCAATTTAAAGCTTATCAGAAACAAAGTTTTAAGATCCAAGTTTCATTTGTTGTATGTATTTGTCAACATCTTTTTTAGCTAAAGTATACATTTGTAAAAATTTATAGAATATGATGTGTGGAAATAACTTTGAATAAGAATACAAATACAATTTAAGAACTACAGGAATCATATAATGACATTTTAATAAGCACATGGAAAATTAATAAATGGATCCCAGAATCTAAAAGATGCCTCCTATATATTACTAACCCTACAAGGTTTCATGTTATTGCATTAAAAATAACTGTTTCTTAAGATCCTAGGGTGATAGTTACACACATTCATATACGTGTGTGTGTGTGTGTGTTTATGTGTGTGTAGGCATTTTACTGTGTCTTAATTACATTTAAGATATTGGTCTGATTATAAAATGTAATACATCTAACTTTATGCTGTTTAGTAGATTTTTGTCACATAACATTTAGCAACAGATTACTGATATTTAGTTGGAAATGACTACATTTTAAAATTCTGCACATTACTATATTGAGCAAAATCAAGTATATGTTACTAAATAAGGGAAAAGGAATATTGAGTATGTAACTAATTATGTGGGCCATACAAACCAACCAAAATCTTTATGTTCTTAAAGAAATTTTCTATGGGCATTTTTAATTACATAAGATAGATTTTTTTAAACATGATGTTGTGAATCCTTCAACCACAAATATAGTTTTAAAATTGTGGAGCCCAATTACTATATCAACATAAAAATCTAAAGTACTCATAAGCAGCAGTGTGTTTCATTTACGTTGGTTCAGCCTGTTAGTTACACAAACTATCAGAACTGTGTACTTTAAATGATTTTAAGTTGATACGCATTCTAGTCACAGTAATGAGGATTGAAGACAAGGCAGAATACAGTTAAGAATATTAATTCACCACATTTTAAATGCCAGTCCAGGATTTATTTGTTCCTTCTGTTAGTTAACACCTATTACGTGAGTCAATATGGTAATAGTAGTAGCTAATATTGTTGCCAAAGATTCTACATTATTTTTATCATCACAGCAATTGTGTAATCTATTAATTCCTATTCATGTCACATATTTAGAAAGGTTAAGTTGCTTTACCCCAGATTACAAGAGAGAGGGCATAGCTTTTATGTGCCTAAAACAGGAATCAAATGCTGGCCCTTTTCTCTGATCCTAAAGAATTATAAAAACGATTAAATCTGCCTTCCCTAAACTTGGGAAGGCAGCCTGGGACAGGTGATGAGACATAATGAGGCAAAAAGAAGTAGCATATTACAGAAAACCCGATCTTATTAAAAGATTGCTTGAAAATCACTTATTTTAGCTTTGAAAAGTTTTTACTTCAAAATTATGAAAGGAAACTGATACAGGGGTGTGTTTATTAGAAATATTAAATAACTTTTCAGAAATTTTTAAAACTACAGGTGAATACAAAGTAAAAATGGTTAAATAAGCATTAGAAAATATGAGGCCTTTTGAAAACATATTTTTGAAGGCATATTGTTTCTGGAAACGTAATTTCATGGGTGATCTTCCTTCTTGTATATGACAGCAAAAGAAAAAATAAATAAACTAGACTTTATGAAAATTAAAATCTGTTGTATATAGAAAGACACAATCACCAGAGTAAAAAGATAACTCAAAATGTGATAAAATATTTTCAAATCATATATCTGGTAAGGAACTGATATCCAGTATATATATAAAACTCTCAAAACTCAACAAAAACAAATAATCTGATTCAAATATGGAAAAGACTTGGATAGGCATTATCTAAAGAATATATACAAATACTAATAAGTGCATGAAGATATGCTCAACATCATTAATCATTAGCGAAATGTAAATCAAAATCACAATGAAATACCATCACACAACCATTAGGATGACTGCTATCCAAAAAATAAATACATAAAAACAGGAAATACCAAGTGCTGGCAAGAATGTGGAGAAAT
The DNA here is from genome assembly GCF_000001405.40 of Homo sapiens. NCBI lineage: Eukaryota > Metazoa > Chordata > Mammalia > Primates > Hominidae > Homo > Homo sapiens. Next base: position 157,940,519 of record NC_000004.12, read on the forward strand.
TGGAATCTTGTGTGCACCATTGGTAGAAACGTAAAATGGCGTAGCTGATATGGAAAACAGTACAGCCATTCCTCAAAACAAATAAAATGAAATTATCATATGATTCAGCAATTTCTCTTCTGAATATATACCCAAAAGAACTGAAAGCAGGGTCTCAAAGAGGTATTTATACACCCATGTTCACAGCAGCATTATTTACAACAGCTCAAATGTGGAAGCAACCAAGTGTCCATCAATGGATGAATGGAAAAAACATATATATATATATCGCATTTCCTATATATATATCGCATTTCATATATATATATATCGCATTTCATATATACATATATATCGCATTTCTCATATATATATATATATATATATATATAGGAATACTATGTATCCTTAAAATTCTGACACATGCTGCAACTGGATGAACCCTGAAGATACCATACCAAGTGAAATAAGCCAGATACAAGAAGACAAATACATTATGATCCCACATCTATGAGTAGGCAAATTTATAGAGATGGAAAGTACAGTGGTGGTTACCAGGGATGAGGTAAGGGAAAAGGGAATTACTGTTTAATGGGCACAGTTTCTGTTTTGCAAGATGAAAAGAGTTCTGGAGATGGATCATAGTGATGATTCTACAATAATACGAGTGTACTTAATACCATTGAGCTGTATACTTAAAAGTGGTTAGGATAATAAACTTTATGTTGCATGTATTTTAGAATAATAAAACCTGTTTATTAAACATGCATATAGAAAATATAGGTGTGGCGAAGAATATAAATAAAAGAGATTTATCCAAGAAAGTTAAAAATTGAGGCAAAATGTTTAAATGATAATAATTTTACTCAAGAAATGTAAATACATCTGTGCATGGAATCTGACTCTAAAATCTCAAAGTTTTTTAATCTCAAGCCCTTTCATCTCTGTGTTCTATGTATGAGTTCCTCAGTCACAGAATTGATTCAATTTTCTTTGAAAATAAGCATTGGTCAATAATTATTGAAGATATTAATCAGATAGGCTTTCTCCATTTGGGTTTATTAATTATCTGCTTTTGAAACTCAAATAATCAGGGACCTAGGAGTGCTTATTAAAATTAGTAAAAGAGGAGAGGATTCTGGGATATGGGGTGACCAGAAGATAGCTCCCCTCTCCTGACCCCCAACCCCAAGCCATCTGTCACTGCTGATCAAAGCTGCTTGGGACCTATGAGTGACGGAGCACAGGAGAGAGGATGCCTCTCCTGGATTCTATGGAGGACTGGAGTAGACCTTTTTTCTGAGGGGATGAGTAAGTTTCTAGAGAACAGGTTGAAGTGTGGAGAAAGGAATATAAATAAAAAAGGCAAATTCGTAACTCTCTTACAAATAAATGTAAAATGAACATAGGCCAAGGCCTGCCTGCCATAACTATTACTAAAGTAATTAATGAAGAAAAACAGACAAAAGTGCCACAAGGGTTAAACAGCTAACTCAGAGTCGCATACAACATTTATAGTCAGATAAGGAATGCTGAAATGTTATTTACACGGGAATGAAAAACTGGCAAAACTAGTCAATATTCTCAGAGCAATAACTAATTGCATTTCATCAGACACAATTTGCATTTCTATGGACAGAAATCATTTGCATTTCTCTCAGTTTTCTACAAATTATCATCTATCTCTATAAAGTTATGAAACAGCCTAGTCAAAGACAAAGGCAGAGATAACTCAGATGGAAGAGCTTGTCAGGACACCCACCACGTTTCAAAGTCTTTCACAATTTTTCCTCACAGTATATAGATACAAATAATTAAATTTGAAAAGGAAAAAGATGGACTATCTGGGAATGGGTGACGCAAGTTTAAATAAAATCCTTGAAACAGATGAAATATAGTGTAGTGGAAATTCAAATAATAGCATGGAACTAACAGCATAGAACCATTTAAAACATAAAGGATTGGAGGTTTGGGGGTAGATATATAAGCTGTCTCAATTTGTCCTCAGGAGGAAAGGCAGGAAGAAAAAAAAACATAAGTGAACGTATTTTAAAGATCTCAGTATATAGAGTTGGGGGTATATAGGGCACAAACGGAGCATCTTGCTTGAGAAAACACAAGTATCTTTGTGGGTGGTTGCTATTTTCTTTCCGAATAACAGTAGAAAATTATATTTGGGGTACTGATAATAGAGAGAAGGAAAGAAACTAAAAGCAGGAAAGACAGACGATGATTCCAACTTATTTTTTCTCATTATCACACATAGACCATCACTTAGCCGTAATGTTACCAATAGGCTTAGCTCTAAGTTATTGATACATTCTCTTCAGAGCATATACTGAAGGAGGAGTTTGGAGCTTGGTTTTTTTTTTATAACATCTCTCCTGAAGTGCCTTATAGTGAAGCTAGGATTTTTTTTTTCAGTTGTTTGATTTGGTTTGGTTCTTTGGCTCAAAGATAAAGATATTCTGACATGAAGAAAATGAATAAAATATGCCTATCATAGTATGTCTTGATGTTGTTTATCTTCTGCTTACTATTTACACCAATTAGCTTCCAGGTCATCTGAGGTGTAAGACCTTAGAAAGTGAGACTAATTATGGTATAGATGGTCGCACAAAATAGACAAGGGGAATTTGCTGGTACCTGTGAGATTTGGGAGGAAACAGTGTAGGAGAACTCAAGAAATATAAATAGTGGTTTTAGGTTTACAGCTAATGCAAATTTGTATAATTTGAGTTCAGCTTCTGCAGTTTGAAAGATGCCAATATTGAGTGCTATGGCATTTAACATCAGGAAAATGAGACTCGGGCACAGATGGGTGTTCAGGCTTCAAGGGAACAAATCCTTAAATTTAAATAACTGTGAGAATAATTACATAGTTTTGTTGCAAGTTAGAAGGAATACATCACATTCTTTCAAATAGAGCTTTTTGTTTTCTATAATTACACCTTCTAGAGAGTGTTGCAAAAAATACTGAAGCACATCTTCCTCAATCGGCATGATCATCATAAACATTGAAGTATATTTATTAACGCTCTCGTGTGGGCTTCTGTGAGAAGAACTATTCAGAGCTACAGAAATTGGGGCTGTCAGTGTTTAAATTTTCCCATATAATTACAAAACTTGATATTTAAAATTTTCAGCAATGAGAATGAAAATAATTTATATATAAATTTTATATAATGCATATCACATATAAATTATATGTAAATGATACGTATCAATCAACACACATTAGCTCTAATATTTTTCTACCATTAGTTCATAAGGACAAGGTCAGAATAGATGTTCACTTTCTCTGGGAAAACACTGAGGGGTGTACGGGGGCATCTGGAACCCAAAAAGTGTGATTAAGCCATGAATGTTATTCTGCCCCTAAGCAAGGAGAAGGGAAACTTCTGAAATTGAAAAACTGGAATAAGATTTTCCTCTACAGTTCTCTATAAACAAATTTCCTTTCCCTCCAACTGGAAATCCAATAAAATACCTCTTTAAGTTTTTTAATCTGTTGGTTTTAAACAATTTTATTTTAAAGACAGCACCTAATCATTAATTCTCTCAAGAGACAAAGAAAGTGAGGTCTAGGAAGATAGATCCAGGGGAAGATCCTACAAAGACTCAGGAAATGTGCTCAAGGCTCTTTGAGTAGGAAATTCCAAGATTCCAGAACCAGGAGCATGATCTGAGGAAATGGGGGATGGTAATAACAGTGCAGACACATCCCTTTTGACATACAGATTCCCAGTGAAGTAGGCTGTGGTCAATGAACCTCTAAAATGTGGGGTTCATGGAAGGGATCTCTGTGGCAGAGTCTAAGGATGGTACTGCTAACTACAGTTCCTACTGGAGTCAGTAGACTCCTCCTAGTCCATTTTCTGTTGCTTATAACATAATACATGAAATTGGGTAATTTGTAAAGAAAATAAAGAATTTCTTATGGCTTAAAGGCTGAGAAGTTCCAGGTTGAGGGGCTGCATCTGGTGAGGACCTTTTTACTGGTGGTGACTCTGCAGAGTCCAGGGGCAACACAGGTATCACATGGTGTGGGGGCTGAGAGTTCTAGCTCAAATTTCTCTTCCTTGTCTTATAAAGCCACCAGTCCCACTCCCATGATAACTTATTAATTCATTAACCCATTAATCCAGTAACCTAGTAACCCATGAATAGATTAATTCATTTATGAAGGCAGAGCTCTCATGACCCAATCACCTCTTAAAGGCCCCACCTCTCTCAATACTGTCACATTGAGGATTAAGTTTCAACATGAGTTTTGGATGGAATAAACAATCAACCTGTAGCAGACTCTATACAATTATTTTTATTTTTGTGAATTGCAACTAAACTACAAAAAATATTTTCAAACAGAACAAAAGTCATTTTTTATAATTTCTTACATATTTTACAAATATTTCAGAAAACATTCTATCAGTAAAATATATATATATATGGAAACACATTCATTAACATATTTGTACATTCTTCAGAATATTATGTTGGTCCACTATATTAATGACATCACGGCTTGACATGGGAGTACCAATCAAAAATGGACTGTGGCTTCACTATGCTATGGCCCCCTCCCCAGGTGAACGACAACAGCAAAAGTAAATCTTCCCAATGTACATAGCCTTGATCATGTAACCTAGTCATCCACTTTGTAGAAAGAAAAATAGCCTGCAGGATAAACATATGGCTCAAAGGTAGTGCTTAATGGCTTGGCTACTGGATAGGTGCCTGAAAGAAAAAGAGTAGAATATCAAGGCAAGGATGAATGATGCGTGAGGATGGCCTTAAACAGGTGGACATGAAGTATAAAGATCTCATATCATCCCCCCAAAATGCATCTACCATTGAAGGGGCATTAAACAACCCAGTAAACAGAGTGACCAGGGCTAGTTCACATCACTCTCCCTGTGCCATTGAAATTCCAATGCTGGCACAATGGGAGTACCATGGAGAAGCCATGGTGGCAGGAATGCAGGCCATGCATTACAGTTTAACTTCTGCCTCTCCCTAATCCCACTCCTCTCTCTCTCTCTGTAGTGTTGAGGGCATTCCTCAAAGCATTTTCTGCAAGCAAATCTCCATCTCAGAGACTGTTTCTATGGTAATCTAGATCAACGTATCACTCTTCTGTTCTCTTCCTTCTTCTCTACCTTTTTCCCTCCCTCTCTTCTTTCCTTTCTTTCTTTCTTCTTGTGTGTGGAACACCATCTCCAGACTATGAGGAGTGGAAACCTACTGAAAAATGCCTGTGTCCAGTAAGTTTATGACATTAACTGCCCAGTGATGTCACACTGTGTAGAAAAACTTACATTCTTTCAGAGCAGAGATGGGCAAATTTTTATTTGTTAAGAGACAGATATTAATATTTTAGGTTTTGTGAGCCATATAGTCTCTATTGCAATTACTCAATTCTTCCACTTTAGTGCAAAAGTGGTCATAGACAACATGTAAACAAATGAACTTGATTGAGTTACAATACAAGCTTATTTATAAAAATAGATGGCAGGCCAGACTTGGCCCATTAACACAGACTTGTTTAAAAGCATTCAAGAAAGAGTAGGAGTGTTCACAGTGCCTTGTGGAGGTCAGTTGAGAGAGTGGGTTCAACATTTATGATACAAGTCCTAGAATCTTCTGTGTATAGCATGAGACAAAACTTTATTGGTTTCCTCATGTCTCTCTAGAATTCACAGCCATTAAACAGAGACATTTCCCCATTTTCTTCACTTTCTACTGTCACTGCCCTGACTCAAGGCTGCTACATCCCACCAGCCAGCATCTCCTCCCAGTTGTAGGAAAGTCACCGCCTTTTTAACAGAGCTAAGGCTGTGACCTAGAGTAGTCTCATTTCCACCATGGTGCAGCACAGAAACTGCCACGCCATTGTTTCACAACATTGTAATTGCAAATAGAAAGAACAGTGTAAGAAAACAGAAGATCGGGTCTTGTTAAACAGTCCATGTATTGCTTTACTAATTTTTAATTATTTGAATAGCCAATACATTCCTATAGATCCAAGTCCAGAAGATATAATCAGCTCCATGATAAAACGTTTCTTCCGCCATCCTTTCCCATTTCTGAGGAGTTCCCATCCCCACACCTCATTAGGTAAACACTGTTCTTAGTTTCTGAGGTGTCCTTCCAGTGTTCCTTTATTTTGACTGGGTTTTAATTAACCTGACTATTGTTACTTTGTGCTCACTACTTCTAAGGTAATGACATTTTCATTCTTCTCATTCCTGTGGCTGCATTTAAAATTTACAATTTGAAAGTGCTCTTTCATGTAATGGCACTCGGGGTTCTCATATGAAATGAGAACTAAATAAACACCTGGATATCCAAAACATGTCTGTCAGAGGTAAAATTTTAGGTATTTATATTCATAGGCCATATCTACATGAAGCAGGATCATTTGATTTCCTATGATTAGAAAACAAATTTACTTAGCTCTGCAAATGTGGAAGGCCTAGTTGAGAAAACCCAGAGTTAGAATAATTAAGAGTATGGACAGCTGTACAGCAGTGGATTCAAGAGACAGGTTTATACATGGGGGTAAGATGAATCAAGGCAAACAATAGAAAAGAAGACAGCCTGAGGTGACTGAGTGAGAATATAAGAGATGATTTTCTCCTCAAGCACTGAGCTCAGGTCTACGCATTAGTCAGGAAAGCAGGAGCATTATCATCTCTTTAAAGAGGCCTTCAAAAGGAAAGAAAATTATGTTGGTGACTGGTTTCTCTATGTGGGACTAGCCCAAGTTCTACAGACTTAGGGTGGGGTAACACCAAGCATAGTAATGTTTTTGCTTGTATTTTTTAAAGTCAGTTGATTTATTTATTGCATGGAATAAATCCAAACTAAATAACTAATAGTTGATAGATTTTATTCGTTTCTTATGAGTTTTAAAGTGGTCTTCAAATTTCTATTTAAATATCTGAAAAACAAAATACTCTGCTTCTCAGAAAAATTATTTTAAAAAGGATGGAAGGCAATAAAAATGATAATCTTCAAGAAAGTCTGTGAGATAATAAGACACTTTTTCTGGCACTCAGCTCAAGATCTTAATGTTGATGAGGATTTGCCTTAGTGAGGTGGTGGTTGAGGTAATGGGTCCAATAAGAAAATCCCTGCACTCATTCAGACAGGCATTGGCCAAGACCAAAAAAGAAAAATGTATATATCATATTTTTTTTCAAGGAAAGGGAATGCAATTTGATGATGAACTAATTTAAGGTGGTCAAGTTTGTTTTTTGTTATTTATAAGTACAAATGAATTGGTTAAGGAGATATCTAAAAATGCCTCCTTTCCCTGATAGATTTGCTGAGAGTGTGTTGGGGGATACCTTAGCAGCCAATCAATAAGAAAAAACACATCTATAATAAATTGCTAGATGATGCAAATGGTATTATGCTACATATTATTATTATAAACATGTATAGACTTTAATATGAGATTTTTTAAATTCTAATTTCTCTTCCATGTTATATATATTTCTATTTTAAAAAAATAACAGTCATTTCTTTTTAAAATTTTAAAATTGTTTTTAAAATTTAAAAATATAAAAATTTTTATATTTTTAAAAATATAAAAGAAAAGTCATTTCTAAATGATCCAAGAATACCATATGAATTTAATTTCATTCATGTTACCTGGATCAACTTGATTTATTTTCCTGTTCTCAGAAATACCAGTTGATTGTCACTTGTAGAGTACACACAATTTAGAAAATCATCTTAAGAGTTTTTTAGTTAGTTTATATTTGACAATTCAGAAAAAAATACGATTTTATATGGCATCTCAAAGCCCTTAATGTGATTGCACAAATCTGATAACACAAAAATTTCACACTATGTTCTATTACCAAGAATGTTGATTTAATCTTCTGAACCTGATTAATAGTTCTTTTCTGTCATCTGGAAGGTACTGTGTATTCGGAGACTAGATAATAAATCAAGCCTTCTTTAATTTCTGTTCTTGATGACACAAAATTGGATGTGGAGGGAATTTCCACAGTTTTTAAATATGTTGGGAAAAAAATCCTGACTCAACTTTTTTCTTATCACTTCATCTCACATACCTCTACTCTCTTCCTGAAGATAAACTGTTGGGGCCATAATGAATTATTGTAAATGCCTCCCTAGCACTGAATTTTACTGAAACATATTTTCTTCTCAACTAAAACTAAGGCAGTCTGGGCCCTCTTGTTTCCTTCCCAGCTGTTTGCTCATCATCTGTTACCTTTTCTTTCTCTAATGTGGTTACATTGGATGCTATAGATACTTAACCATGCTAATAAAACTGTCTCCTAAAAATATTAAGATATTTTAAATTGTATAATAAACTAATTAATTTCCAACTAAATGTAATGATATAAATGGCACTTCAAACAGGCACAAGGGTACATTGTCAACATAATATAACATTTTGTTCCAAATATTTCTATAGTTTATTAATGTTACACCAACATTAATAAAATTATGTAGCCAGTCATATGACACATCTTTCTTAATTGAGGAATATGCCTTCTAAAGAAAGTTATGAGCTGAGTTCAAAATATAAGAAAAAAGTTATTCTATGAGGTGAGGAGGACTAAAAGCAAAATATATCAATAACTATATTAAAATATATTTGAAGTCAGACTCTTTATTATATGGGTATTCACTTAAGTCTAGAAAGCATCCTCTAATTACACCAATTTATAAATAAGTTATCTATTGACTCTCCCTCCAGTTTGTTGTACTAAATTAACATTGGTCTGATGTTTTTGAAATTCTCTTGGCAAGATTCAAGATTTGCTCTCTATGGTTAAAATGCTAATAAAAATACTTAGCACACTACTATTTCTAGTTGTTTTCTTTTCCCAGTATACTAGAATCTGGATATATTATAGAAATTAGATACTACCTAAATGCAATGCCTCACACCTGTAATCCCAGCACTTTGGGGAGGCCGAGGCGGGGAGATCACCTGAGGTCAGGAGTTCGAGACCACCCTGGCCACAACATGGTGAAACCCGGTTTCTACTAAAAATACAAAAATTACCCAGACGCGGTGGTGCATGCCTGTAGTCCCAGCTACTAGGGAGGCTGAGGCTGGAGAAACACTTGAACCCTGGAGGCAGAGGTTGCAGTGAGCAGAGATCGTGCCACTGCACTCCAGACTGGGCGACAGAGCAAAACTTTGTCTCAAAAAAAAAAAAAAAAAAAAAAGATACTATAACCTCTAGCTCAGTATAGTAACCTCAGCTTCAAATATTCTAAGACTACAAATACTATTACTTATTTACTAATGTGGAAACAATTAAGTTTCTTAAAGAAGAATCCTTGTGATGATGGTAGTCACAGAATATAACCCACCTTTCAGGCTGATGAGTTGCCAATTAATGTATAATTAGCTTAAAATGTCCTTTATATTTTAGTGACTCCCATAGGGAAACTCTCATTCTCTTTCACATACTATAGCTTGTGACTTTTTACTTATTGACACCTACTGCTAAGACCTTCCTGAAGTCATTTTTTTTTTCAATTTTTGTCACATTTACCTCAGACTGGTTTAAACTTGTCATATTTTTCTAACTGATAGTCTGGCGTGTATCCCTACTGACAAAGGGAAGAAAAGGGTGAACATCAGTCTGCATTTCCTCATACACACCCTGCTCCAAAAACACATATGCTTCCCATATCCCTCACCTTTTAAGAAGATAATCCGGCCGGGCGCGGTGGCTCACGCCTGTAATCCCAACACTTTGGGAGGCCGAGGAGGGTGGATCACGAGAACAGGAGTTCCAGACCAGCCCTGCTAAGATGCTGAAACCCCGTCTCTACTAAAAATACACAAAAATTAGCAGGGCCTGGTGGCGGGCGCCTGTAATCCTAGCCACTCGGGAGGCTGAAACAGAATTGCTTGAACCCGGGAGGCGGAGCTTGCAGTGAGCCGAGATCGTGCCATTGCACTCCAGCCTGGGGGACAGAGCGAGACTCGTCTGAAAAAAAAGAATAATAATAAAAGAAGATAATCCATGACCCCATTTTAAAGTCTCAGAACAGACTGCCCAACTGATTCTTTAAATCACAATGTGCTTTGAAATATAAATGAGTCTTATCACATGTGTTTATGTCTATGAAGGATATCATTATCAACTTAGTACATCTGCGCCTTTTGCTTAATGTCTAAAAAGAAAGAAAATTGAATGTGTTAGGAAGGGAAATGATGAATATCAATAGGCAAAAATAGGGGTGGAAACTTATAATCCCTTATCTGTTTTTATTAGTTGTAAAAGATTTACTATTCCAAAACCTATATGGCTTATGTGCTTGCTTTAGAAATCAGAGAAGGTTAAACGTGGTGATTTCATTTTGTCTCTTGGGCCAAAGGAACCTATGAAGCTTATGAAATCCATCCATAACTATGAAAATCGTATAGCTTTTAATCCACAAGGGGACATTTTTAATAGAGGGGCTGTTTTGTAAGGTCTAAAATCAAGGCTCAATACTACATGTTACCTTGAAATCTGGTGAAATTGGAGGGCAAGGGGCATAACCGCAAGTTTCCCTACTACTTTGCTCTCTTGAATCAAGTACCCTCGCAGAACAATTTTTATTAGGGGGAACAGGAGCACTTTCTGCTTATGCCTGAGTGTCAGGCTTCGGTTCCCTGCCAGTTTGCAGAATTTGATTCAAACAATCCAATCACATCCTTCCTTGGGAACCAGACAGCAACCACCCTCTATATACTACAAAGCTTGCTTGCCTTCCATATCTCTTGACTGTTCACTCTGTTCCCAAGTGCAGGCCCGTGTAGTTCTGCATAGCATGCCATGTCCTCCTCCCCCACCGAAGCTATGAGTATATATAAGTAAAATATTGCTATCAGTCTCATCTATCCAGCGTCAAGACTGTGGATTTGATACACATCCCCATAACCCTAGGATGGAGAAACCTTCTCTCACCAGTAGGGTGAACAGTGACAACAGAAAAAAAAAGAGGGGGGACACAGTAAGAATGGCTGAGCAAACTGGAACATATGGTCAACCTAGTTAGAACATTTGTCCCTGGGAACTTAAATCAATAGAAAGAAGAGGAAGGAGTTGAAGGAGAATAAATTCTTAATCTATAAGCACCAAAAAGAAAAGATTTATTGCTTTATTTAGCCTGCAACTACAAACTAATGCTTTTGTCTGACTGTTCATTCACACATTTACTTATTCATTTAATAATTTATCTATTTCTTTGAAATATGTATTGATCATCTATTTTGTATTAGATACTTTGGTAGAAATTGATTTTATACAATCTATTTCAGGAAACAATGCACAATTTTTTTTACAAGTAGTTTTAACATGTATCTTGCAACTGAGCAAAGCGATAAGGGAAATACCAATATTTTACTTTAAAATTTGATTTTTTTAAACCAAACGAAACTACAGCATTGCTTGCTATGATTGAAACTAATTTTTCGTGTTAGCTGAAAACTTTTCTTTGATAGATATATAAAATGTTGAATATCCATGCCAAAAGTTTAATATTTTAGGCCACAAATTGGTAACATTTCTTTTTCAATTTAAAAATCTTCTGATACAAAATGTATCCAAAGTATTAACTGGGCATTGTTTCATACCACATAAATCATCTAAAAGTTTTTTTAAAACCTTATAATTTTCTAAATGTTGAAAGAAATGATATTTGATACTGGTGGAAATTTTTGTATTCTAAAGACAGTGGCCTAAAGATCTTCAATTTTTTGCTTGCTTCCCCTTCGCCTTCTGCCATGATTGTAAGTTTTCTGAGGCTTCCTTAGCCATGCCTCCTGTACAGCCTGAGAAACTGAGTCAATTAAGCCTCTTTTCTTCATAAATTACCCAGTCCCAGGTAATTCTTTATAGCAGTGTGAGAATGGACTAATACACAAAAATCACTCTATATTCTGTTCAATTATTTCTTGCACAACAAACATCTTTTTAATTTTGCTTCATCACAACAAATTGAAAATGTTACTTACTCTGCAGTTTGCAACATAGTTTTTTCCAGTTTCTCTTTATCTATACAGTTCCATAGCAGTTGTACTAGTATCTCTCCTGGATTCTGTATCAATAGCATACCTTCATTTTTAATTTGAAATTTTATCCGTACTTATTCTTTTCAACTGGCAAGATATTTTATATTATAATTAAAATAATAATATGTATTTCAACTTAATTACCAATCCTAACTTACACAGATATTACTACAACTCATGCTGTCTGCAGAAAATATTCAAAAAAAAGTTGCAATGTTACAGCAATCATTGAAAATAATCATTCAGATTATTCAATCCATTGAATATAACTAGATTGGAGATGTGTTTGCCTGCAATCATAGGAACAACACGTAGATCCAACGCACGCACACTCCAGGAGAATAATGCAAAGGTAAAAGTCAAATATAGTCCCACTCAAACAATAAAATTAGTTAAATGGAAAAATATTTCATGCTACTACAATTTTTATATTTAAATTTTAGCTAATTAAGTAAATCAGATATTCAATTCTTCAATCATAGCAGCCACATTTTAAGTGCTCAGTGGCCACATGTGTCTAGTGATTACCACAATGGACAATGTAGATATGAAGACCTTTCCATCATTACAGAAAGTTATTTTGGATAGTACTGGTCTGGAGTATAAAAAATATAGAAATGATAAATTATATAGGATTTGGGGGGAGTTGCAAAAACCGAACACCATGAATAATATAATTTCCATGGGAAAAATGTAACCCTCACACAACTTTTGTCCAAGACTGGAGGATTTCCTAGATTATCCATTTTAATATCATTTCTTGGTGTGATTACTTAATAGAATAGTAATATATATTTGCCTAGAAAACTTAAATAATGTTTTTGAGAGCTACCTGTTCTTTTTCACCATTTTTTATTTAACAACATAGGACCATTTTTTCATACCATTAAATATTAGTAACAATATTTGAAACAACCTATTAATTATCTTTGTTTACATTATCTAAAATAATCCACAAAAATAACTTCACAATATTTTCACTTTCAGAAAAACAATACCAGTTTTGATCATTTCTGTTTTCTTTCAAACTTACACTAAAACACCAATGAAAACCCTATGTATAACCTATCAATATTTCCAAAAAAGATCCAGTCATATAGGGAATTCAAGCAGCATAAAACAGGTAATAATTATATTTATCCACTGTACTACAAGTAGTAGATACCTAATAAGTTTCTGATGAACCTAACTGATCTCTTGCATTTAAAATAACATTTTAATAGGAACAGAAACTATATATTTTTGTAAAACTAGGTACTTAGCTAAATTGCCAGCTTATTTTTTGGACAAAAGTGGTAACTTTTAAGTTTTATCTAAGTTCCCTCCAAAAAGCATAATCATTTCCTATAATGTATAGAAATACATTTCATTTTTAGTGATATAAACATTATTTATTTCACTTTCTTGCTGTGTAGATCATATTGAAAGTAAAGTAGACAATTAAGGCAGGTATCAGTATCATTTGAAAACAAAAACAAATCATTTTATTTATATGTACATAAAATTGCAGTGAAAGAAGTTTTGAAATATTAGTGTTTAGTTCCATCACATATACCCTGTATCCAGATGAATGAACTGAACTAGGCAGAAGGACTTGTTTTGACTGAGTCATTCCTGTTAGACCAACCTACAGACAGATATGGAAATGTGAGCAAATAAAAACTCCCAGAGTCCTGCAATTTCATTTCTTGAATCGTGTTGAAATTTATGATTAAAATTGCTTCTCACTGTAAAATTTGAAAGAGGTGATGTATTAGTCTGCTCAGGTTTCCATAATAAAATACTACAGACTGGGAGGCTTAAACAATGGAAATTTATTTCTAACAATTCTGTAGACTAGAAAGTCCAAGATCAGCATGCCAGCATGGTTGGGTTCTGGTGAGGGCTTTCTTCCCGGCTTGTAGTCAGCTGCCTTCTTACTGTTTCTTCACGTGGCAGAGAGAGAAAGAGAGCAAGTGCCCTGGCATTTTTTCTTATGATGGCAGTAATCCTGTCATAGGGTACCATGCTCACGACCTCATCTAAGTCTAATTATCTTCTAAAGTCCCCATCTCCAAATATTGTCACGTAGGGAGTTCTGCTTCAACGTGTAAATTTTGAGGGTGAAGGACAACACAGTTTAGTCCATAACAAATAACCAAGCTGAACCAATGTAGTTTTATTCATGTTTGATAAACATGGGCTGTCTTCTCTGCAAGCATGTGTCTGTGACTAAAGAGCAGTCAATAACATGGGATAACCTGGATCGATGACTGGTTCACTTAATTAACAAGAATATTACTTTCTACTTCCAGCCATTCATACAAATATTTTATTTGTTTGAGTCATTTAGCACTAAGAATGATTAGATTCTAATTTCTAGAGTTATATCAAAATATATAAAGTAGTGTGTAGAGTAAATTGTTTACAACTTATGACCTTGTGCATTAACAAATGCCTAAATAGGTTTTTTTCTGCAGCTAAAAAATATGTAGAAACTATTAGAGGTCCAATGTTTGTAACTTTCCAAGATTAGATTTGATATGAATTATATTCATCTTGCTTGGAGGATTCTCCTTCCACACTAACTAGTATGAGTGGAAAAAGAAAAAAAAAAGCTAGGTTAGTATTCTACCCACAGAAACTTCTACTTGGAAGATTAAATTTCTCAACATGACTGGTAAACTATTTTGAGCAGTGAACACTCGAAAGTCTTAATTTTCATTTTTACTTGATGGATTTATTTTCTCTTTGCTTTTAACCACATGTTGAGAAATAATTGTCATCACTAGAAATTATTGGGATCATCTCTTATGAGAAAAAGTTATAACATACAGAAAAATAATTTCCAAATACTTTTATTATAATTTATGTTAGGTTATTTTTTTTTATTTCCATAGGCTTTTGGGGAACAGGTGCTATCTGGTTACATAAGTAAGTTCTTTAGCGGTGATTTGTGAGATTTGCTGCACCCATCTCCTGAGCAGTATACACTGAACCCATTTTGTAGTCTTTTATCCCTCACTCCATTCCCACCCTTTCCTTATGAGTCCCCAAAGTCCATTGTGTCATTCTTCTGCCTTTGCATCCTCGTAGTTTATCTCTCACTTATGAGTGAGAACATATGATGTTTTGTTTTCCATTCCTGAGTTACTTCGCTTAGAATAATAGTCTCGAATCCCATCCAGGTTGCTGCAAATGCCATTAATTTATTCCGTTTTATGGCTGAGTAGCATTTCATCTATATACATGTGTGTGTGTATATATATATGTATATATATATATGTGTGTGTATATATGTGTGTGTATATATATGTATATGTATATATATGTGTGTATGTATATATATGTATATGTATATGTATATATGTGTGTATGTATATATATATGTATGTATATATATATGTATGTGTATATATATATATATATGTATGTGTATATATATATATATATATATATATATATATGTATGTATGTATGTATATATATATCACAGTTTCTTTATCCCCTCTTTGGTTAATGGGCATTTTGGTTGGTTTCATATTTTTGCAATTGCGAATTAACCTGCTACAAACATGCGTGAGCGTGTTTCTTTTTTGTGTAATGACTTCTTTTCCTCTGGATAGGTACTCAGTAGTGGGATTGCTGAATCAAATGGTAGTCCTACTTTTAGTGCTTTAAGGAATCTCCACACTGTTTTCCATTTTGGTTGTGATGATATGATTCCATGCATAGAAAACCTTAAAGACTCCTCCAAAAAGCTCCTAGAACTGATAAAATATTTCAGCAAAGTTTCGGTATGCAAAATGAATGTACACAAATCAGTAGCTCTCCTATACACCAACAGTGACCAAGCTGAGAATCAAATCAAGAACTCAACTCCTTTTACAATAGCTGCAAATAAAATAAAATAAAATATTTAGGAATATACCTAACCAAGGAGGAGAAAGATCTCTACAAGTAAAACTACAAAACACTGCTGAAAGAAATCATAGACGACACAAACAAATAGAAACATATCCCATGCTTCTGGATGGGTAGAATCAATATTGTGAAAATGACCATATTGCCAAAAGCAATCTACAAATTCAATGCAATTCCCATCAAAATACCATGATCATTCTTCACAGAACTAGAAAAAAAAATCCTAAAATTCATATGAAACCAAAAAAGAGACTGCGTAGCCAAAGCAAGACTAAGCAAAAAGAACAAATGTGGAGGCATCACATTACCTGATTTCAAACTATACTATAAGGCCACAGTCACCAAAACAGCATGGTACTGGTATAAAAATGGGCACATAGACCAATGGAACACAATAGAGAACACAGAAATAAACCTAAATACCCTAAATACTTACAGCCAACTGATCTTCAACATAGAAAACAAAAACATACATGGGGAAAGGACACCCTATTCAACAGATGGTGCTGGGATAATTGGCAAGCCACATGTAGAAGAATGAAACTGTATCCTCATCTCTTACCTCTTGCAAAAATCAACTCAAGATGGATACAGGACTTAAATCTAAGACCTGAAACTCTAAAAATTCTAGAAGATAACATCAGAAAAACCCTTCTAAACATTGGCTTCAGCAAGGATTTTATGACCAAGAACCCAAAAGCAAATGCAATAAAAACAAAGATAAATAGCTGGGACTTAAAGAGCTTTTGCATGGCAAAAGAACAGTCAACAACAGACAACCCACAGCTGGGAGAAAATCTTCTATACATCTGACAAAGGACAAAGAAAATCTATACATCTGACAAAGGACTAATATCCAGAATCTACAATGAACTCAAACAAATTAGCAAGAATAAAACAAATAATTCCATCGAAAAGTGGGCAGAAGACATGAACAGACAATTCTCAAAAGAAGATATACAAATGGCCAACAAACATATGAAAAAAATGCTCGACATCACTAATGATCGAGAAATGCAAATTAAAACCACAATGCAATACCACCTTACTCCTGCAAGAATGGCCATAATCAAAAAATCAAAAAATAATAGATGTTGTCATGGAAGCAGTGGAAAGGCAACACTTCTACACTGCTGGTGGGAATGCAAACTAGTACAGCCACTATGGAAATTTATGTTAGTTTTGATACCAGGACAAACCAACTTCCTTTTCTTTAAATTTTAGAATGATACAGACCTTTTAATGTCCAGTTCACTGACTTGTGTGTCTTATCACTGCTCTTTAAAAGTAAAATTCTACACACTACAGAGAAAGCAGTAAGTCAGGGCCCCACCTAATTCCAAAAATGATGCTTTGGAAAAGGACAAAAAGGTAATACGAAAAATCCCTTTATATTGAGAAATCTGGTGAGATACTTTTAAAAACTTTCACATGATATGGTTTTGGTAGTATATGATTTAGGCCTGCTTTTGAGTATGATATGAAATCAATCATGTAACTTCGGAAAATGTTAAAACTAAAATCACAGCAGATTTTAAAGAGCATACCCTTGTCAGAATAAATGATAAAAGTTGGCATATAAATTACTTTAGGAGTCAGCAAACAGGGTACATGGGCCAAATCCTCCCACTTTCTCTTTCTGCATGGCTCATGAGCTAAAAATGGATCTTGCATTTTTAAATGGTTAGGACAAAAATCAGATGAATAATATTTTGTGGCATGTGGAAATTATATAAAATTCAAGTTTCAGGGTTCAAAAATAAAGTCTTACTGAAACACAACCACACTAATTTATTTACATAATGTCTATGGCTAGTTTTGAGCTACAAGGACAGAGCTGAGTCACTGTGGCAAAAACTTTATAGTGCATGAGGTCTAAAATATTTACTATACAGCGGTTAATGAAAAGACTTTGTTGACTCCTGATGATCCTACATTTAGAAATATATTTGTTCCTACATTTAGAAAAATACATTTATGTCAATATGAACAAAATAATAATGTTTTATAATATTTCATGTACAGTTTTCTTTTTAGTCTAGCTAACCTTGAGTATTTACCTCCAAATTAGCTACTTAAATAACCAGTAGTCAACTACTGTAAAGCCAATATGTTTTAGTTCTTTAGTTATATACAGATTTGTGTGAGAGTATTGTAAATATAATCTTATACATGGGTAGGCAATTGTTTAATTTTTCCAAAGCATAAAAATAATCACTAGAAGATACATCCTTTTCCCTTTCTCTGACTCTAGCCTCTGTCTCTTATAGTAAATTGTATTTTAAGACATCAGGAAAGTTTAATATATAATATATGCTTGGAAAATAAGAGGATTCTATTTCATAAATAAACAAATTCAGACTATTAAAAGAGATCGTTAGTGGCATTCTAAAGGACTAGAAGTGTATATTCAACCGCATACTACTATAAAGGTATATCATGAGCTGTGAAAACTATGGTCACATTTGCAAAGATTAAAAGTGGATGGGGATGCCACCATTAATAAGAAAATGGTGGAGAGATAGAAAAAGTAATCTAAGCTGTTTCAAAACCTCTCCTCTTTTTGCTTTTGTTTTTTCAAATTCACTTTACCTGAAAAAAAAAAGATCAACTAGAATATTTTATGAAAATGCTCCCTATTTTACTTATATAAAAATAACCATGAAAAGGCTTTGATATAATTACTTGGATAGATTTTTATGTGGCTTATGATGTACATTGAGTCCTGCTATAACATTAGTCATTTGCATGGTACATTAGAATTAAGTACTATTTAACACATAGGTCTGCAAAATGAAGTGGCCCCTAAAATGAAATCTATGAACAAAGAGAAAAAAGTAAAAATGAAAAAAACACTGAGTCAGCCAGGGTACAAAATTTCCATATGTCTAAGCATCCATCCCCTTGAGATAAATGCCACTAAATAAGACAGTGTTTAGGTTCTTCCTGAACAACTGTACTCCTACAGAAGACCTCATCTGTGTTTTTCTGAAGTGAAGAGAGGGGGCAATGTTGGGCCTCCAGGTATCATCCTAACAAAATATGTGTAACATTCCCAAAAGACTAGCCCCAATCCGACTCTAGGGTTCAGATCTATTAATACCACACAGCCCCTGTCCAAACTAAAAATAGCTTCTCCTTGGTCCCTCCTCCCCTAAGGTATTTCCTAGGTTGGAAGCTTCTCTTTCCTTTTCTCGTAGCCTCCTAAGAGGCAAGCAGAAAAAAAGTATGTGGGATGGATATGTATGTGGCAAGTGTGGAAAAGGAGATGTCTAATTATTTTTGGTTCAACTTTTCTATTAGTTAGGAAGACAAGCATAATGACCTGATGCTGTCATTTTGGCTGGTACAAAGTTATAATCTGACTCTTGATATGTTCATGATTAAATGTAAAAACAGACTAATTTTCTAGACTCTAAGTATGGAGTTGGTTCTGTTTTCAAGGGCAGAGAAACATCTTCAGAAATAAAATCCCCAATCTTCCTCCTTCTTATATTTATTTTTTATAACACACTGTAAAGATTAGCTAATCACAAAACCACTCACAATACCTTTTACAATACCACAAAGGTATATATTTTTAAATTATTATCACAAAGTATGCCTATGTGGAATTAAAAACCAGAATTTTTAGAACTAATACTAAATTCAGACATTTATAGAAACATTTCATTAAACAACTGGCTCTTCAGTGGGCTCTCCTTTACCTATTTTCTCAGTTATTTAGTTCATAAAGTACACGCATGGAGACTGAACTACTGGATTTGATTTGGTCTTTGGAGGGATTTTAGCCTCCTATTTATCATGTGCCTGTGTTAGAAATCATACTAGATATTTTAAAAATCTATGTTTAAAAGTTTACTAAGGAAAATATGGTATCAGTAGTGCCTGTGGGTGTTCAATAACTGTTAAATGAATGACAGTGTGATTGAATGGACGTTCATTAAACAAAATCTCAATTCTATTATAATAATTTAGTTTCACTATTTTAGTTTTATTTTTGTTTTGGGAGCAGAGGTTGATGTGAGGATTAAGTATGGTAAAACATTACAAAAGTGCATGTTTAAAAACATCAAAACTATTATGAGTCAGTAACAACATCTACATATAAGAAAATGTTTAATGTTTAATATTGGAATCACACAGTAACCCATTAAATATCAAATCTAATGTCTTCCTACTTGACAGTGATATGCAGAGCCTAATAACTTACACTTAGTCTAAATGAAAATTTATTGTGAATGATACGCAACCAAAAGTCATCATGAAATTTCATGAAGAATATAATTATAAAATGATTCAGGGTCTATAAAGTGATGGTGAGTTTTAGCTATGATTAAGAGACACCCAGACTTCCCTTTACTCACTTGATTTAGATTCATTGAAAGGATGTTGTCGGGGGCTAACCAAGAACAACGACCAAATCATTACAATATATGTGTTTCTTCAGCTCCTTTTTATTACACTAAAAACATAAAGTTTACTAAATTAGGCAATTCATAGTCAAAGGCAGTCAAGCCTCGCTTGATTCCATAAGCATGGGCTTGAGAATCTCTGCATAGAGCAGGATTGCATTTATGTGCTACGATTTTCCTTCAATTGAATGTTTCTTTGTTTAGATTTTTGAATGTTCCTTTTTTGATCTTTTATATCAGTGTATCTTGACTATATAAGGTTGCTTTTATAAGAACAGATTTGGTATGGAAATTGCTTCAGAAAAATGTTTCACTCTATTGCAAGTTCAGTGGTCTCATGTTGATTCATAGAGTCATAAATTCAAAAGCATGATATAGAACATAATTAATTTAATACTTTAGTACTTTAATATAAAAGATGACTGGCTTGAATATGCAAAGAATTTAACATTTCTTATGTAAGATATTCAGAAAATGTTAACCTAGTTCCATTTGTTTTCAAGACTCATGACCACTCATATCAGACCAGTCTCACATTAAGACATCCAGGATACAAGAGCTGTTGAAAATTGTGGAAGTCCTGCTTAGGAGACCATGTGATACATAATTTGTAGAAAAACATTTTATCAAAAGGGAAATAGACAAGGAAACTGACAATTTAACTTTCTCTCTCTAAATATGCTCTGAAATTCATATACAATGCAACACAATCATTTTTGGTAGGTTTGTTTAGCTGACTTAACAGTTGTCAAAAATCATAGCAGGGTAACATGACTCATAAATTATGCTATCTGTTAAAAATTGAATTCATGCCTAAAGCAATATAGTCGGTGAAGCATGTGCAAGTTTGAATAGTGCATCTCATTAATGATGAGACGATACTGTGGCCAAAAGTAGGAATTCTCTTGAGATACCAACTGAATTTTCTTTGTCATCAGCCACCCACATAACCTCTGGTGGTTTATTACCCAGCAGAAAACAAGTCTGCAAAATGTCAGTGTCACCAAATTGTAACAATGATCTATAATTTTGATAAATAAGGTTGATATAATGGGCTTATTGTTAAAAATCAACTAGAAGTTAATATATAAATATAATCCAGGTAAAATTATCTGATAAATAAATACCATCATTAAATAGTATTGGGAACATGATCCATTATGATATCATCACGTTTCCGTCCCGGTTGACATTTAATTGGTGTTTGCAGATAACAGTAGCAAAAGCTTATTAAAAACTGAAAGTATTTCCACACATTGCTACAGTTGTTCCTTTTTCTTGATTTCTAGAGAATGCTCCAAAGTTTAGGAGAAGATGGAAGAATTGGGGAGTAGGAGACAGCAGCAGAGACATCCTGGAAAGGTTGGAAAGGACTGGCTAGAGAATTGCAATCATCATGGATGACTGAGGTGGACATGCCTAAAGTTATGGAGAAAAATACTTAGAAGAACTTTTAGAGAAGTAAATAACAGCACATGGTAATTCAGATACAGCAGAAAAGTTAATGTCTGAGAAGTTTCTCTACAGCAAGGGTACTTGACAGCAATGGTGCTAATATACATCCCATTTTTTTTTTTTTTTTTTTTTTTTGCCTATAAAGCTCCTGCCTACAGAAAGAGAATAATTCAGAAAGCAATGTAGTCTACAATTTACCAAGAAGAATTGGCAGAGCAAAGACAGAAGCCTCACCAAAATGATGACATTATTCACATTAACACATAATGGCTCTGTGTGTTATTATCAGACAACCTATCTCTACTGAAAGTGATGCTCATTGATAAAAACTAAATTAGTAAGCCAGCATACTAGTTTGTGTTTCAAGCAAGCTTTATAAAACTTTTATTTGGTCAAAGCTAGTATAAATGTTCTTATCCAAGTCAAAGAATTTTGGAATTACAAATAAAAATCCCTACCTTAAGTAAAAATGTTTAATTGAATTAGTTTTATTTAAATATTTATTGCTAGCAATTTTATAGGAATGATTCTCAGGCATGTACAATTGCATTAAATCACCATACCAAAGTTAGTTTTCTGTCATATTTAAACAAGTCTGCCTTTGAAAATACATATATTTCAAGAACATTCCTTGAAGTTCCACGTATTTATGGTAGGCTTTTCAAACTATAACATTAAAAAGTCTATATGTATGTATTGGTGTGCTTAATTTAATCACACCTGAACAACTCCAGCACGCAAATAAAAAACAAAACTGTTTTAAAGGTGTATTGATTAATGTTAGTTTCAGCTATGAATACTAGAAAACTTAGATACTATAGCTTTGATAAGTTAGAAGTTTAAGCCCCATTAAAAAAGTAGGCAAAGGATATGAACAGACACTTTTCAAAAGAAGACATACATGCGGCCAACAAGCAAATAAAAACAACCTCAATGACCACTAGAGAAATGCAAATCAAAACCATAATGAGATATCACCTCACACCAATCAGAATGGCTATTATTAAAAAGTCAAAAAATAACACACGCTGGCAAGGTTGTGGAGAAAAAGGAATGCTTATACACTGTTGGTGGGAGTGTAAATTAGTTCAACCAATGTGGAAAGCAGTATGGCAATTCCTCAAAGAACTAAAAGCAGAGCTACCATTCGACCCAGCCATCCCATTACTGGATATATACCCAGAGTAACAGAAATCATCCTATCATAAAGACACATGTACGCGAATGTTCATTGCAGCACTATTCATGATAGCAAAGACATGGAGTCAACCTAAATGCCCATCAATGACAGATTGGGTAAAGAAAATGTGATACATATACACCATGGATTATTATGCAGCTATAAAAAAGAACAAGATCATGTCTTTTGTGGGAAAATGGATGGAGCTGGATGCCATTATCCTTAGCAAACTAACACAGGAACTGAAATCAAAATACTGCATGTTCTCAGTTATGAGTGGGAGCTAAATGATCAGAACTCATTAATACAAAAAACAGAACAACAGACAGTGGGGTCTACATGAGGGTGAAGGGTAGGATGGGGAAAAAGAGCAGAAAAGATAAATATTGGGTACCAGGCTTAATACCGGAGTGATAAAATAATCTGTACAACCAATGCCTGCGAAGCAAGTTCACCTATGTAACACAGCTTCAGATGTACCCCCAAACCTAAAATAAAAGTTTTAAATGAATAAATAAAAAATAAAAATAAACAAGTTAGAAGTTTAGTTTCCCTCTGGATTTTCACAGTTTCAGGGCAAGCAAAACAGCCTGCAATGCCCTTTGTAGTCCTACAAAGCTGACAAAGGAGTTCTGAAAAGTCTTCAGACACTGGGACTTGTTACACTTTTCTCTTCTGTTATTTTAGGATACAGCCCTCACAATCATACTCCAAGATGATAATCCAGCCATCACATCTATGTTCCAAACCACAGGATGGAAAAGACAAAGACCAAAGGGCAAATATGTGCACCAGCTGTTTCTGAGGGGATACTTCTAGAAACTGCACAGATCACTTCCATTTATACCCTATTGGCTAGAACCCAATCACCAGCCCTCACCTAGTAGTAAGGGAGAAGGGAAAATACAGTTTTTGTTTTGAAGGCTGCATCCCTTGATAAAATTTCTATTTCTAAGGAGGAGGCAAGAGATACTGAAGAACAACTAGGTTAGAATGACTTTTCCCATATTTCCAAGTAAGGGTTTTGCCCGTTTGATAAGACCATGATTTCCTCGCTCTAAAAATGCAGTCTCATGCAGAAATGAGAGCATCAGATTGCTGAGCTGGATAAAGAAGTTGCACAAGAAAATTTAATAAAAAAAAAAAAGATAAAATTAGCCTGACATCCTGTTTTAAACCAAAGCAGCTTAACTGGCATTTTTTGCCTGAGGGGAAGTTGGACTACAGTCAATACTGAATTACCTTTGATCTATGGAAAACTTGGCCTTCACTCAAGGCACAGATTTGACAGCTTTTAACCTAAGTTTTGAAACCACACTCCAATATTCTATATGCAAGAGTCTTCCCCATTGGCAAATACCTTCCTTAGAGAACAGCATTAAGGTGAGCATGACAAGAGGATTTTCAAGTGCAGAGATTTGGAGGGCTGAAGCCTTGGATGTCATTCATTGATGCATTACTAAGGTTAAGGCCTAATGAGCAGACAACTGTTGAGCAATTAAATCAGCTATTTTTAGATTGTGCTACATATATCAAAGGCTGAAGTCTATCTAAGCTTTGGGATAATTATCAAAACCCATTCAACAGCTTCTCTTTCTTCCTGATAGCTACCAGGCCTTTATCGCTGATTTACACTGTCATATGCAGTTTTAAAACACCAGGGAAAATTTCCTTCCTTTTATGCAGCATATAATTTCCCACTATTCAACCCTAAGTCTGTATTCAGTTTATGGTGTTATTTCAATAAAGCTCACCAATGACTTCTATATGGTGTTCATATTCAGCAACAAGTAGCTTTAATACTTGATGACATCTCGGTAGAGACGGGGAGAAACTGTATATTTATAGTACCTTTCCTCTCGCCTTCACTTTCCGCTATGGTAACAAAGGCTGGGGTGGTTATTTTTCTCATTATTTTCCCACTGTGACTGTGAGCAAAGTATCAGACTCTGCAACTTGAATTCAAAGACATTAAACTACTTCCTAAGTATACCCAAAGAATGTCTAATAAAAACCAAAAGCTCCACGAATCTGGTGAGGACTGTCTAACAACACACAATCTGATGAAACTCAAAAGGGCAAATATTCAGAAAACAGAGTGGATTCTAAGTACAAACAAGCAAATGAAGTATTTTCTTGAATGATTGGAAACCATATCTATGACTTATCTCCAAGACTGGTTGGCAAAGTAAAAGAATTTTACCTACTCAAAAGCAAAATACAAATCAAAAGGTAAAAAAATCCATAAAATAGGAAAAATAACATAGACATGGTACCCAACATTACTGAAATCAAGTATACAGTTTCACCAGCACTAACAAAACAATTCGCATCAAGAAGGGTGGGATTTGTTAGAAACATGATAAAACTTCCTACTTGTTGATATTTTACTTGGTCCCAGATGAAACATTTATTTTCCTTTAAAGTCATGTATGCTATCTATAATCTCAGGATGCTATTGAAGTATTTATTAATAATTCAATACACTCCAGCATAAACCCTGATATACCTTACTCTTTCCTGTTTGTTCCCCTTCTTCCCACTGTAGTATCATGTATCTTTTTACAGTATTCCCAAATATATATCATTTCTCCCTTTACCTACAAGACTTAAAAGGTATATAATGGTGACTACAATATTGCATTTCTTTTAATTGTTGCTTAACTAGATTTTACATATGAAATTATGTGCTTTTTCTCATGAATCAATACTTTTTGCCTGTTGATGAAATCAACAGCAGTGTTAAATTATTAAAATATATTGAGGCAAACTTGAAGTTGCATAATTTAACACTATTTCCATAAGAAGCCAATATGGGCTACTGCATCATGCTTTTCAGGGACCTGAGTTTTACAGTAGTGACTGCCTGAAAACATTACGCCAGGTTAATAATGTTCAGGGCTTTTTCCTGAGGCAATTTAAAATGAGAACATTTATTTTTATTCTCCCCAATGGAGCCAGAATTACATTAGGCATACAGCTGTAACTTTTTATTCTCTTTTATCCTGACAGGTGGGGTGACAGTGGCTACTTTCCTCCCAAGTAAATCACATTTGACTATAAACTAATGAGGTGATGAAGGCTTTCTCATCAACACCTTTCTGTTACGTAGCATCAACTTGGCGTGTCCTGATGAGCAAAAGTTAGATGGGGGAGAAAAATACACCTTGAGGAACAACCAAACAAAATATAATTTCCAATCTACACAGCCTCCTTGAAATAACAAAAGTAGTCAAATTTTCTTTCCAAAATTAAAAAAGAAGCAAAAAAGTATATAACTTCTCTAAGAAAGAAAGGCATTTCAAATACCTTATTCAACTTTTACTTTCATTACTTATTTATTTCATTTTTAAATAGATGATGATAAAGAAGTATGCCTACTTTGAAGGACTGCTGTGAGAATCAAGTAAGATCATACATTAAAGTTCTTTATGAAAGTTAAAGTACTATGTACACATTAAATTAATATTATTTCATTAAGAATATGATAGCAAGACCTGGCTCAGTGGCTCATGCCTGTAATCCCAGCACTTCAGGAGGCTGAGGTGGGCGGATAACAAGGTCAAGAGATGGAGACCATCCTGGCCAACATGGTGAAACCCTGTCTCTACTAAAAATACAAAAATTAGCTGGGCATGGTAGTGCGTGCCTGTAATCCCAGCTACTCGGGAAGCTGAGGCAGGAGAATAGCTTGAACCTAAGAGGTGGAGGCTGCAGTGAGCCAAGATCACGCCACTGAACTCCAGCCTGGTGACAGAGCGAGACTCCATCTCAAAAAAGAAAAAAGAAAAAGAATATGACAGCAGAAGCTTCTTCTTTTTGCCCACGCAATGAACACAGTAAGTAGTCAATGTATTTTTAAATAATTTGGTGGCAAAAGGGCCTAATTTCCATGCTTTGCTGAGTTTTCCTCTTCCTTGCTTCTGGAGGAGCACAACACCCTTTTAGTATTCATCATGAATGGCTAGAAATAATCCCACTTGTCTATCCCATTACACATAGTTTATATGGTTTCTTTTGTTTGTATTTAGGTTCCCAGGCCATGTAAAAGCTTCTCAAAATCAAGAAACATTATATATCATTTGTATATACAACTGTATATCATTGGACTGCATGGCATGCACAAAATCAATTCTCATTCTGTCAATAAAAGCGGCTACACAACATATTTCTTTAACCATATATCTTTATTTCAGAATCCAAACAGTGTAGCAAAAATATAACTAAGCTATAAAGGATCAGCCCCTTCTTCAGCCTTGATGTGCCATGTTCTTTCTACTTGTATACTCTTGATTCGTAGCACAATAGAATATATGTTGTTTTTAGGGTAGTAATGTCCTTCCCCTTACAAAAAGACAAACTCTTTTAGTATTACAAGTGGATCTTAATAATGGAAGGATGATTTTAAAACCACCTGATATTATAGTGCCATTCATATAACTAAAGCTCTCACTCCAGTAATATCCCATAACTTTAGGTTGTAGAGAATCAGGCAGATTAATTCTATTTCTTCCAAACTCTACTCTTACTTTCCATGTAACTTTAATGGCCCATTTATAATATGAACTTTTCAGAGAACTAATGAGACCCTGGTGATGTTTACTTTATTTAATTCTGATTATCACATTCAATAGCACTTATAAGTCATTTCACATTTATTAGTGACTAATATATACTATGCATAGATATTTAATGTAATATGTCATAAATGTCTAACATATATTATTAGTAGCTGGATTCCCCAACTGAATTCTGTATAATGAAGTAACAAGGTGTTCCGTGGCTTATTAGTAGTTCTTTACACATAAAATATACTCAGCTAAAGTGTGTTGGTAAAATCCATGATGCTGATAATATGTTTCTTTTTGTTTGGTTGATTTTTTCATGTATCAGTTATTTAACTATGTTACTGGTAAGAAATTTATAATACCAATTTCTAAGAATAAGCTTCGTTTTTCAGGCCAAACAGGTTGCAGGTATCCCTGGAGCTGAGGAATAGCTTTGGTTTTTGGTAAAATTTGCGGGTCCACAGCTGCCTGGTCAACCTTGCCCTGCTCTGTCATCTCATATTTCTTTCTTTTTTTTTTTTTTTTTTTTTTTTGAGATGTAGTCTTGCTCTGTTGCCCAGGCTGGAGTGCGGTGGCGCGATCTCAGCTCACCACAACATTCGCCTCCTGGGTTCAAGCAATTCTTGTGCCTCAGCCTCCCGAGTAGCTGGGATTAGAGGCGCCACCATGCCTGGCTAATTTTTGTATTTTTAGTAGAGACAGGTTTCACTATGTTGGCCAGGCTGGTCTTGAACTTCTGACCTCATGATCTGCCCACCTCAGCCTCCCAAAGTGCTGGGATTACAGTCGTGAGCCACAACACCCAGCCTTCTCATATTTCTTTCTTTGTGCCAAAGACGTCACCATCTGTTGTCTGGGCTTCCACAGCTGTTTCTTCCTGAAGTAAGCCTCAGTAAGATGTTTTGAGATTTCCACATTGCTGATATCAATTTTTGTGGTGGTGGTGATGACAATTTCTTCAGTGCTCTACACAGAGGAACTTGATTGAGGATCCAAGTTTCAGTCAATAACAAGCAGCAAAACACTGCTCAGCTGCTTCAGGAAAACCACCTGTTTGCTTCGATGGCACCCAGTGAAGATGAGCAGAATGTTCCCAGGAGAGATGATGGCTCACAGTTTTCTCATATGCTGACTGGAGTGTTTTTTACCATGGCTCAATAGCCCTAAAGGCACATCATCTACTGATGTGCCTAGGCATTTTGCAAAGTTTAACCACATGGGTACCACTATTCTGGTCACTACCAACTGGTTTTGTAACCATAGCAAGGACCTCCTTCTCTTTCTTTTTAATCCTGGATTTATCGGCTGAGTACTTCCTTTTGCCCATGGCCTTTCTGGAATACATAGCAGATCAGGAATACCTGCGAATTCCCCTGAAAAAGGCAAGATCTCAGTTGCGGTGGGACTTTGCCTTCTTGGGCATTTTAGCCTTGAGGTCACTTTTTTCAACCTTCCCACTGCCATCAGCCTTCTTGGCTTCAGGCTTGTTTATAAATAAGCTATTTTCCAGATGTTCCAATAAGACTCTTGAATATCTGGGTGAAAAGGAGATTAAAGGCTGGTAGTCACAGGACAGAAGAGCAAAATATAAAGGAACATGAACTAAAATTAATGGCATGCTTCTTTTCCCTCTACTTTCACAGACTTTCATTAATGTAAATAAGAAAGTGTTTTTAGCTTCTTTTAAATAAAGATATTGGTCTATAAAAATAATTTTCCTTAGTATCCAGCTTCTCAGTTGTTTCCACAACCATCTTGCAAGATGGGGACGGGCCTGATAATATGCTTAAAAAACAAAAAGAAAGCTACTAATATAACCAAAACAAAAAAAACAAATACATGAAAAAATAAATCCAATCTAGTCCATTTAACTTCTATGTAAATTAAAAATAAATGTAAAAATGGCATGTGCACAATTCAGCCCCCTTGAAAATCTTATCACTAATTTTCCTTCCCCTTAATTGATATTTTAAAGCCACATAAAGTCATTCTATTTTCAAGTCTTTCAGAAGACTACAGAATTTTGACCTTTCTACCTTGAGTATCTGTTAACCAAAAGAACAGAAGATGAAAATATTTATTGATTACATTGACTTTATTTCACTTATGGAATATACACTTAAATATTAGCTGCTATAATTCTTCTCCTATTCTCTTACTGTTACTATTTTTAGTGTCTAAGAAGCAAATTTTGCTTTATTTCTCTTTTCGTTTCCTCCATTGCCTCCATAGCCACAAATATAACAGATTAGAAAGTAGTTGATTTAGTTAAATAATCCTCAGTTAAAGGAATCCTTATGTGCAGAAAAGCCTTCAGCAAGAGATTTTATGGCCTGGAAGGCATCAGATTCCTCATTTACTTCCATATACAGCCATAAACTAACAGATCTCAGTCATGTGTTATCATACTTAAAGTTTCACTGTTGCAGGTTGATTTCTTTAGTTTATCCATTGCCTTTCCAGGCATCCCCTAATACAGAAAACAAACTAAGGTATAACGTTATTTCTTCATACTTTGCTCAAAGAATGCCAAGTCTACCACCTTCATGTGATCCCTAAAGCAAGTGAATTCACTCTTAACTGTCACACTGGAGATCTGTATAACACACCCAGGCCAGAGGGTAAAATATCCAACTGTCCACTGCTAGAAATGTTATGAAAAGCCAATTAAGAAAAGTAATATGTATTGAGGTTTCTTAGAAGACTTAGAATCTACATAGACTCAATTATTTTCAGGGATCAAACTGAGCCATAAGAAAGTTGCTCAACTGGGCCCTATTATTTTGTCCTCTACAGAATCACTCCCCCTTAAGTTGTGTGTTAATGTAGGCTTTGGATTTCATCAGGAAGCAATACCAAGAATAGCCTATCAGAACCAATATATGTATTTGCTAAGAAATTTTAGGCCAGGAGTGGTGGCTCACACCCATAATCTCAGCTACTTGGGAGGCTGAGGTAGCAGCATCACTTGAGTCCAGGAGTTCAAAACCAGCCTGGGCAACATAGTGGGGCCCTGTCTCTAGGAAGCTTTTTTTAAAAAAACAGCCAGGCATGGAGGTGTTGCACCTATAGTCTCAGCTGCAGTGAGCTATAATCATGCCACTGTACTCTAGCCTGGGCCACAAGAGTAAGACCCTGTCTCCTAAGAAAAAAAAAATGTAGATGACTTCTTCTATGTTTGCTTTATATAAAGTCCCATTAAAACAAAACAAAACAAAAACACATTATTTTAGAATAAGTACCAGGAAAAATTTTGCTTCCCTTAAGAAATGTTATACATTTTATTCAAAGACATGGAGAACTATATAAACAATCATTTTTTCTTATTGCTTTAAGACTTAGATAATCAAAGCCAAAATCTCAGGGCAGAAATAACACCTGCATGAAACTTTATGTGCTGAATAATATATATTCCATTTTTCTTCCATGCCATGTTGACAATCTATTCTACTTTCTATTTTCTATGGTTTTCTTCACTGCATTAATTTTCAGTTTCCCATCTCTGTAGAATAAAGCAAACTATATATTTTTTAACAGCAGACAAAATAGGATTATTTATTTCTTCATGGGAATTATACAGCCAGTTGTTTTGGTTTTGTTCCTAATAAAGATTCTGCATGTGAACAAGTTAAGAAACAGAAAAATGGAAAGTGAAAGAAATGAACTTGGAGAATACAGCAGGCAGCTTCCAACATGACCCCCGAAACTTCCCTTCACTTCCTAGTATTCATACCCTTACAAAATCTCCTCCACCTGAGTCTGGGTGGAACCTGTGACTTGCTTTTAACAGCATATGGCAAAGATTGTGGGATAGCATTTCTGTGATTAGGTTACATAAGATAGTGACTTCTGCCTTTCTAACAGGCTCTTTCTCTCTTACTAGTTTGATGAGGTAAGTTGCATGTTCCCACACTGCAATGAACAAAAGGTGGTTGTGGTCTCCAGCCAATAGCCATCAAGAACTCAGGCCCTCAGTCTCACAGTCTTTGGAAAATTAAATCCTACCACAACCATGATAATAAGCTTGAAAATTAATTTGTCCCCAGTCAAGCCTTCAGATGAGACTCCAACACTGGCCAACACTTGATCACAGCTTTGTGAAAGACCCTGAACAGAGCGTTCGGTTAACCCATTCCCAGATTCCTAACCCTCAGAAATTATGAGAATGAATTTGTGTTGCTTTTAGCCAATGAGTGGTAATTTGTTATACAGCAATAAGAAACTAATTGGAAAAATGCCCATATATTTTACTTATTTCATAATTTTACTCGTGACCAGCCTTGCTTTGTGGTTATATTAACGCATTAGGAAATATGTTGGGGTGAATAAAAAGTGAATAATTTACCCTTCTCTTTTTTTTCTATCAATCCAGAAAGTATTATCAATTATTTTATCAATTTATTTTTATAAATCACAGTAATGTCACTCCTTTTCTGTTTTTTAATTCCATTTGTAAAGCTATATCTTATAGAAGATTATAATTCTTAAAATCATGTTTATAAATAAGCTATTTTCCAGATGTTCCAATAAGACCCTTGAATATCTGGGTAAAAAGGAGATTAAAGGCTGGTAGTCAGAGGACAGAAGAGCAAAATATAAAGGAACATGAACTAAAATTAACGGCATGCTTCTTTTCCCTCTACTTTCACAGACTTTCATTAATGTAAATAAGAAAGTGTTTTCAGCTTCTTTTAAATAAAGATATTGGTCTATAAAAATAATTATATTTCTTTGATAATTAATACAGTCTTTGAGTCCTAATATTACCACTGGAAACTCTTTTTTGCAATGCAGCATAATTGAAGCATGCATGTTGTTAAATCTGCAGGAGGTTAGTTATTTTATTATCTAATACTGTTCATTATACATACTATACTTCTGAAAAAATGGTTATGTTGTCTGCTTCTGTAATACTTTTTCCAAAAGTTAGTTTTTTGTTTTTGGTTTTTGGTTTTGGTCTTTTGTTTTTGTTTTTGTTTTTTTTTTTTTTTTGAGATGGAGTTTCACTCTTGTCGCCCAGGCTGGAGTGCAATGGCGCAATCTCGGCTCACTGCGACCTCCACCTTCCAGGTTTAAGCGATTCTCCTGCCTCAGCCTCCCCAGTAGCTGGGATCACAGGCATGTGCCACCACGCCCACCTAATTTTGTATTTTTAGTAGAGACGGGATTTCTCCATGTTGGTCAGGCTGGTCTCGAACTCCTGACCTCAGGTGATCTGCCCACCTTAGCCTCCCAAAGTGCTGGGATTACGGGCGTGAGCCACCCCGCCTGGCCGAGACTTCTTAAATTATATTCCTTGCAGCTGGCCTCCAGTGTGTCATTGGAATCCTACCTTCTACCTAGTTCATACTATTTTACTGCTTCTCTCTGACTTCTTCGGTCTTTTTACAACAGACTTCAGATTGCAATGCAGTTAAAATTAATTACTTAGCCAAACAAGATAGGAGTTTGACTCTGTGTTCTTTGCTCTCCTTTTCAGCCTCTGTGGAAGACTTGATAACTTCTGTGCTCTAGAAACTTCTAATTGAGCATGAAGAAAGCTGGTAAATCACTGCACTGTAGCAACAGCAATCCAGTGTTTTCTCTGCCTAATGATCCTAAAGCTGATTCAATATATGTTCGTCATCAGAAATCTTTACAATGTTCAAGGCATATTTATCAGAATTTGGAATAAGCTTGCACAAATTCCCTCTTGCAACATTCTATAGCTTAGCTCAATTCCTTTCTCTTTGTATAGATCAGTGAAGCGCCAGAAGATTTACTATGAGTAAACAACTTTAGATATAAGATTTGCAGGACTTTAATATCAGACACCTGCTGGTCATATAATTGAAATTATCTACACTGAAGTAGAAACTAGTTTACCAATTATGTTTCTTTTTATGGTCCCAAACCTCATACTCATCTATATCTATATTACTAGTTTGCTAGCTAGCAATTTCTGCTACTCATTATTTCTATCCTGCTACTTTCATAAAAGTTTGGATTGATTTCAGAGCAGTTACACCAACAAATAATGATAAAGTAGAAATATGTGCATTGGGCAGCTTCTGAGATTGAATGTGCTCACTAAATCTTTGTAGAAATCTTCCTGGATTACCTATCTACCCTTCCAATTATTCTCTATTACTGCACCTGTAACTTTTCAAAACCCAGGATTACAACAGTTATTTATCTGCCAAATTTTGTGTCTCCCCTTCAATGTAAGTGCCATAAGTACAAGGACTCTGTGTGTAGGTATGTGTGAGCTATTCACAATTATAATGGAACAGTGAGAATAAGTCACTAAAGATATCAGTGTCTGGCATGTAATAATAACAGCAGATCAGTCAATATGTTATTAAATATTTAAACTATGGGGAAATGGGAAAAGAGAAGGCTATTGCCTAGGTAAATATCAGTGCCATGATGATGGGCCATGGTAGCTTGTTTCACTGGCACATGTTTCATTGAACCAAGCTTCTGCAAAGGCTTGGTCTCAGCACCTGGAAAAGCAGTCAATTGAAAAGATATAGTGGTGGTGTGGGTGCTGCAGGAGATGTCACTCTAGAGCTTGCAAACAGCAAATGGCACCACTGAGGCATCCATGCCACGTTACCTGGTACTCAGATTCACTGACAATAGAAAACCTTCATAAAATCACATCTAGAGTCTCCAAGGTTAGCAGTAGAAGATGAGTAATAACATGGAAGTTAAGATTTTATTTTCCTAACAGAAATCATCAAGGAAGTTCTGAGGTTGAAGAGATATTCTTAAGAGACAAATATATCTCCATGAAAAAAAATAAGACTTTGAGGCCCATTTCCTCTTCCTGTCTCTGCTGCAAACCTTGATGATTAAAATATTTAGGAAGTAAAAGATTTCACGACTGTGAGACTTCTTGATGACCTATGAAATCAAGAGCTCCGAGAGCTAAAGAAAATTTAAAAATCATGTCTTGCATCACCTGAAGGGTGTCCTCCCCACCCTTTAACCCTCAATCAGATCTTGAATGCTAGCTAGAGTTTTAAAAATTGGTGGATGGAGCTGTGTGTTGTTTCATCATTTGCACCCCAACTGTATATCCATCTGATGAAGCTTGGAAAATATACTTGTTAAAAAAAAGAATTAAATCAAGAGACACATAAAATAAAATAGCAGAAGGCCAGGATAGAGAACAGGTAAAAGCAATTGTTGCAATGCCTATATAGTTTTTACGGCTGCAATACAAATATGTCTCCGAGCTTCCAAACAGCTAAAAAAAAAAAAAAAAAAAAAAAAAACCTGTCTTTTTGAGAAATAAAAATAACTCTTAAGAAAAAACTGTCTTCCAAACACTTAATTTTATGTAACATATTCATGGAACAAAATAAAATAAAAATCTTACCCTTTGCTTTATTTACTGACTTTCAACTGTTTATACTAATCCTATTTTTTCATTGAATTATTCATCTAAAAACAAAAGTAAATTGACAATTACTACCCAAATTTGACTTAGGTAAAATCAATACATGCTAACAAATAACTATGCCAACATTTTCTTTTATATAACTATACCAAATAATGCTTTGTACTGTCGATGGAAGTTTTCAAAAGAATGATTTTCATCATGTTGACCTTTGATAGCCACAAAATTCAATTAAGCAATGAAAAACTCCAGTATCATGTAATCATAAGACAGTCAGTGACTTTAATAATCAAAAGAAGTCTACCTTTACCTTTCTTTTTGATAAATGAGTAGATGGTCATAATATGGTTTTCTTCAGTATTGTTTAGTCAGTAAATGCTAAAAAGTTTTTCCTCCTTTTTCATAAACTATAAAAAAATTGTGTTTGCTATCCATCTAGTCAAAATGCCAGATAATATAAGGTCCTTCTTAAAATGGGTAAACATAAGAAACCTCAGAATTGTTTTATTGGGTTCAGTGAAAAAGAAACATAAACAATCTTAAAATGCCAGTTAGAGTATGGGCAGAGAGATGGGCATTAATTGAAGGCAACATGAATTACTGATGTCAGTACTACCCCTTCTGGCATTTAATCGTGCAAGAACAGTCACCATGGTGCTGTGGCTAAGTGCGTAAGTTCTGGGGCCAGTGTCTAGGTTTGACTTCTGACTTTACTAACTGGCTGTGTTGCCTTGGATAATTTAATGAATCTCTCTGTTCCTCCATTCCCTCATTTGTAAAATCAGCATGATATCAGTACGTCACAGAGGTAGAGGTAGTTAAGGAAGTAATCACTTATAAGCATTTAGCATAATGCCTAGTTCAAGAGATAGAATGATTATTTCTACCATCTTGCCTTTTCTCTAAGCTTGTATGTATTGTATGCTTTCACCTGAATTGAAATTCTTGTTTAATATAAATATTTTAAAATGTCTGTAGCCCCCAGCACAAAGAAGATGCATAATTAAAACTCTGAATTGTATAAATACAATATTATATCTTATGAGTCAATGTCTTTTTACTTAAGAAATAATATCGACGATGTAAAAATGACAGCTGACTAATGATACATAATAAATCACCTTTCTCCAAACTAATTTAATAGGGAACTCCACCTCCAACATGTATAAACACATACACACACACACACACACATCATCATCATCATCATCATCATCATCATCTTTGAAGCCACTTATGTAATAGCAGCAAGAAAACTTATGGATTAGAATTGGTTCAGCTTTAATATTATGATGACTCTTTTCAATACCTGACTCTTTTAATATGAATATAGTATACATGAGCTACACTGGAATTTTAAATTCATAATATTTTAGTTATATTTTTCAAAAAAACATAGGTTGACATTTGAAAATTGTGGAAGCTGTATATTTAAGGCAATTTATCCAAATATAAACATGACTTGATTATTGGATTATTTTGTGTATTTCAATTCCTTTGGCATATTAAGTGCTTATATATCCCAAATTGTTTGGGGTGGGGGCACAAGTTTTTAGAATCACTAGACCTCAAACATTTATGTTTTGCCTAATAGCCTTAAAATTCTGCCTTCCTTTTTTTCAGGAAATAGGTTGTTATTTTAGAAATTTAAAACAAACACACTAACTTTGAAAGTTACTTTTCCAAGCCACTAACACCTTGATCCCAGAAAAGGTAGAATGTACAACCGGCTTTGCTTCCCTGGCAAAATTATTTCAACAATGTTTCCTACTTACTGTGGAAAAATAATCAAATCCAGCTGACAGTCACTGAATGGGCAGCCTAGGAAATATTTTCTTCTAAGAGATTTCCGCTACGTAAATAGAAAAGAGTTATGAAATTGTTCAGAAAATTATAAGTGAACTCTTGGAAAATAAAACTCTTAAGTATTCTTTCGAAAGGGAATGAAAATATTGTACATGCTCTTTTAATTAAGATTCTGGTTGATATATAGTAATGCTTTAGATTTGTTCAGTCAGCATGATTCTTGATTGAAAAACACACGGGAGAGGTAGAAAATATTTCCAGAAAACTACGATTGAGAGTCACATTTTACAGAAAGATAAATTAGGATTTGTTTTTATATATTGCCAAATGATTCTTTACTTTGAAAGTAATTTTCCACAGGATTCTTTACAAAAAAAAATTAACTGTTTGGTTCATGGGACTGTTTTTAGATTGTTTACTTGCCAGGCAGAAAAACCTTGGAGCTAAATGTTAGGAATCACTGGCAAACAATAAAGATAAACATCTCTAAAATTTTCATAAAAGTCAGTAAAAAATATGACTTCATTCACAAAAAAATCAATTGACAGACATCTTTTGAAGAATACAGCCTTGACTTAAAACAAGGAGCCCATAGAGTCAAATTCCTTTTTATTCTTGCTTCTTCTTAAATTTTAAACATTCTGGAAAATTTTTCTAATACATTTTTTCAGTAATGTCCAGCAGTATCTTAATTTTTAAGTAATGACTGAATTAAAACTGCAAACATATAAATAGTTTAAATACTAATAATAGGAGCTGCTATTTATTTCTAACAATACAAGTCTTTTCACCAGATTCCTTTGTAAGCCGTAAAAAAAGTCATCTTTATAGTTTTCTCAGACATATGCTGTACTAAAAAATGCAAGTCTTGATGCTAAATATACATTTAGAAACTGGGAAATTTCTGAATTTTAAGGGTGATACAGCATAACATATCAGTTACAAAAAAAATGACTTGTACCTTGGGAAAAAACAGAAAAGGAAATAAAGCATTTTTATTAAGATATATGACTTCATCTTGTTTTATGTGGTGAATTAAAACAAAATCACTTAAAACAGTAGAAACTCTGTTGCTATCAATGACTTGTTCAAAAGGAAAATAATTAGATCTCTGAACTATTCATCAGGGAAAAAGGAAAAAAAAAAATCCTTCAATTATCTGAACCCCATACCTAGACTCTTATTATAGCAAAAAGTAACAGAGGAAATAATTCAAAAGGTTGGAACTACGTGATTGGAAATCAGTGATTGCAAACCACTTAACTATTTATTTATATTTTCTCAATTTTTTGTAGATTTTCAGAAATTCATTTTGCACTGTTGAGCATTTCCAAAAAGTAGAAAAAAAAAAACTTCTTAAAATTGCCGACTTAAATAATTTGTTTCTGTCCCTATAAGTCACTCTATAAAATGCAAGAATTTCCATTTCAATTCAGTTTTGGGGCATGTTGAAACAATCCTTCCTTTTTTCCCTCACCTTATTACTGAAATGAAATGTGTATTCGCACTATAATGTGTTTTCTTCTATCCTGATTGTCTCTATGGCTTTTATCTTTCTCTTTTTAACAGTGAGTGGCTAATGGGGGCGGTGGGGGCGTGCGCGTGGGTAAGAGAATGTTCTTTGTTAAAGACTGTTTTCTTCCCTATACTCCATTGCCCTCTAGTGGCTGAGAGCTAAATATCTGGAAGCTTCCATCATCCGCAAAGCAAGACACCATTTTACGCTTCACTGAGAGACTAGGGATATTCCTGCTGCTAACACAGTGATTTTTCTCTCACCATGAGAAAACATAGGCTCTGAATTTAGCCAAATTTTATATGCTTTCTGCCTGAACCATTTAAAAGTACCTGAAAAATTTTATTGTATGCTTTGTTTTTTACTGCTTTCCATATTCCCTCCCTGCCTTTCTTCCTTCTTTCAACAGACAACCTAATTTTATTTAGCAAAAGAAGGACTTGTAGAATGTGGGTATTTAAAATCCATAATTAATTACAAAATTGCATTGCTTGTAGTAATTTCAAATTCCTCCCCACAAAAATTTCAGCTGACATATTAAATCTAGGCATTAGGTTGGACAGTCTGTGAATGCAATCCCTGGGTAAAATTTTAAAGACCATCGGTCACTTCTCTACAAAAAAAAAAAAACAAAAAACCCTCATATTTGTGTACTGATTATTTCT
Organism: Homo sapiens; assembly: GCF_000001405.40. Taxonomy (NCBI): domain Eukaryota; kingdom Metazoa; phylum Chordata; class Mammalia; order Primates; family Hominidae; genus Homo; species Homo sapiens. Next base: position 157,979,457 of record NC_000004.12, read on the forward strand.
GTAAAAGTAACCAGAAAACCAAAAGACAAAGGATAAGAATAATATACTCCACTTTATAAAAGAGAGACCAGCTTAAAATTCTTTTGGTGAGGTTTTTAGCAGCACCCTCTTTTTGTTTTCAAAGGAAATTGGTTTGTTTGATAAATTATATGGTCACCCTGGTTAGCAACTCTCAGATCTTACTATTTAAATACTCTAATAGCAAACAGTTTCCTCTCTTTCTTCCTCTGGACGTTTTTAAAGTATCAAAATACTAAGACAAAGAGAAAAGCCGATTACAAACTATCACCAACCATGGTCATTTAATTCATTTTACTGTTCTACATTAAAATATTCTTTATGAAAACATTGCATTACTCTAGGGTAAAAGACCCTAGAATTGATGCTTTAACAGTACGTAACATAAAGCACCACCCAATTATAAGCAATGTGAATTACATCTATATAAATCAGTGCTCTATTGTAAGCGATATAAATTTTCATCTTATACACTTTAAGTACCAGATGAGCTTGAAAAGATGGGGGTAAATGGGGGAGGCAGGGCTAGAGTATGGTGAGCTTTGTAGGTTATCCATATTTCTGTAACTGCATTGATCCATGTTCAGCTGACTTGAGATATACATGACAGGAGGGACCATTTCTCATTCAAGACCATGTCACCTGTCCCCAGAAATGGAGTGCTCACAAACATCACCACCATCTCTCCATTAATGATACAGCCACACTTTCATAAATTCTGACATGTTTTCTGAGAAGCCACCATCCCTGGGAAGTAGAAACCCATGATTATCATCACTATCCTCTCTGGCCTCTGCTGCAGAGTGACCCCATGATGTTAGCCCATGGCTTCTGAGCAGGTTGGCCCTCTCATCTGCTGGCCCCTAGTGTCAGAGCCCATGGCTCCAGCCATTTGCTTGCTATTATGAAGTTGCCACACACTCTGTCTCCTCATTCTCACTGAGACCTCTGCCTTTTCATTGGCTCTCTCAGCACTTCTCATCCTCCCACCTGTAAATGGGAACTTTTGGAGTTTCAGTCCTGCTCACTTACACCATGGAAAGCTGGGAATGGGCTGCCTCTGGTTCATCTGTTTAGACCATAAAATCAAATATCATCACTTCCCTTTAGAGAATATATAATATAACGTTTAACTACAGAAAAGAAGTAAATTACCAAATAGCAACTCTTGCATTTTAGCTTTGCAGATTTTTGTTCACAGGTGTGTGTAGCAATGACATTTGCTATTATAAGCAGATTTAATAGAAAGGAAAAAGAACAGAATGCAAATCAGGGGCCTAAATACTTTAAGTTTATAATCCAAACCCACTTTGGGACACTGCTGTTTGGAACCATTAACCAATTAGAATGTAAATGTCTTTGAATATGAGTTCAGAATTGTTTGGAAATACATTAATTCTTATCTTTCAGTTATTAATATTGGTATGAGTAGGGAAAACAGAGAATTATGTTCTTACCCAATCAAACCTGGCCAGATTTGATACCTTCACATAGACAAATATGAACTATGACAACCACAAAGCTGAATAAAATTAAATTGAGTTAGTGGAGGAGAAAGCTCTTCATAAATCCAATAAATAAATGAATGCAAGGAATAGTGACTGTGCCAATATTGAATATGTGTCAGGATAGATTTTTTTTAAGCAAAAGAGACATAAATTTGTTGAAAATGTCTCTCAAGTTTTTTTATCTTAACTGGTGTCAGTTTGTCATTAAGACAAATAGTTTTCAGACTAATTATACTCTTACCCCTAGGAAGGGATTTTGAGAACAAATTTTCTGCTGGGTCAAAAAATCAAAACTTAGAGACTAAGTGAAAATAACAGCTGTACAGCACACCAACATGGCACATGTATACATATGTAACAAACCTGCACATTGTGCACATATACCCTAAAACTTAAAGTATAATTTTAAAAAAAAGAAAATAACAGCTGTCTAACCTGTAAATGTGAACATTTTACTTAACCTACTTCTCTGGCCTTCCAATAGAGACAGACTTTCCTATCAAGCAAAAATAGATCAATAAACCACACACACATACACACACACAATCAAATGCACTGACAAAAAAGCCACCCAGAAAGAATCACCAGTGCTATGCCAGAGATTTAAAATGGGTGAGGTCTAGACCACAAATGGATAGTTACTTGAAGTTGGGTGAATGTGAAGGCATCTCTGAGGAGATGACATTTAGGTTGACAGCTGAATGTCAAGATGGATCCAGCCATGCTAAGGCTAGAAGGAAGACCAGCCCAGGTAAAGGGAATGGGAATGGGTGTGCAAAGGCTCAGTGGCAGAGATAATCCTGGCAAGTTCGAGTGGGAAAAAGTAGGCCAGTGTGGTCATAGAGTAAGATGAGCCAAGGCTTTGTGGTGAGGGCCAGGAAACTGCATTTTATTCTAAGTGCAATAGGAAGCCTTCGGAGGGTTTTTAAAGATGAATAAAATCATCTAACTTACACTGTTAGGAGAATCACTTTGCTAAATGGAGAATGAATTGGAAGTGGGTGACAGTAGAAATAGAAGTATCATTATAATTCTACGGGTAGGAAATTATTGTGATTTAAAACAGAGTGTAGTAGTGAAGAAGAAAAGAAGGCGATTTCTTTGAGACTTGTGCAGAGTTAAAACTGGCGAATTGCATGCATGGGAGGGAAGAAAGAAGAACAAAGACTAAAGTCCATGATTTTAGAGTTAGGAAGCTGCTGGTTGGTGATGCCTTTATCAGGGATGGACAGAATAATGGAGGAGCCCAATCTGGGTGGAGAATGAGAGGCCAAGCACTCAGCTTCAACCCCGTGATTGTCTAGACCCACTGTGTGATTAACTCAAGCTACTCTTAGATGTCAATGACATCTCTGAACATCTATAAACCCATGGTACCTTACAAATATGGCTCTAGAGTCTAGTGCATCATCATTTTGATGATTCAGCTACTCTGAATCTTCTGTTGTTTCAGTCCTTCCATTGAGCTGCCAACACCTCCCTTTACTCACTTTACATTTCATGATACCAGTTGCTCAGGGCTTATTTTGTCCCAGGGCTTCTACTCCACACTTCTTTCTGTCTCATTTATTTTTCTTCTTCTCTACATCTTGTTTGCTGACCAACTCTGAATATTCTTATTTTAATTTTTTGAAGGTAAGTTTGATTGGTTATAGTCAGCATGTATTATCTTTCCTTCTGTATGAGATGACAGTAAGCCAGCCGGACAAGATGCAGCACACACATCATAACTACTACAAGTCTCCCAAGAGAAGTCAAGGTCAGCTTTAAACCTTGCAGACCCACAGTATATAATGCCAGCTCATGATGGTGTTAACTAAGTAAGAACTGTCCTACTCCTTCCTCAATCTTCTATACTACCCACACTGTGTCAAACACTAGAGGGGTTCAGAATGGCAACTGTTGCAGGGAAGGGATTGAAAATAGAAAAGGAAAATACCCCAATTAATATGCCTCTTTCTTATTAAGGCAACCAACTTGTAAATGGTCAGCACTGGTAAAGCAGAGTTGTTTTATCTTTGAATAATATTTATAAAGTTTTGATTATTACACTGGACATATTAATTGCTCCTTACAATATTTTTATTAATGAACATGACTGGAAAAAAATGTGGTGACTTGTCCTAAGTTTCATCCGGTGGGAAGTAAGACTGGCCGCATAGAATAATTTAAAGGAGGACAAAAATAAAGTTGTTTTATAATAACATCCCATGAGTCATGTTTGTTCAATACAACACATATATCTGCCTTAACTCTGATAATATTCAGCCTTGATATAGTATGTTCCTCTGTCTCTTCCACTGTATTTTAAACTCCTTGAGAGTATGAAGCCACCTTGCTTTCTATTTTACTGAGAAAATAGAAGCAGTCGCAAGAGAACTTCCAAAAGCTCCCACCTCCGCAGTTTTCCACTTAATTTCAGCTGGGCTTATTATCTAACCCTCCATCTCTCCTAATTTGAGTGAAGAATGCCAAATCCTACACTTGTGCGTGAGATTCCAGCACTGCTAACTGGCTCGAAGCTGTGACTTCAGCAATTCTCTATCCTGTTGCATCATTTTCCTTTCCGCTGAATCATTTCCATGCACATAAAATACATGCTTTTACTTCTCCCCTCTTAATTCTTCCCTTCTTATCCTCTCTTGAGGCAACGTCAGTCAAACTCTTACCCACTCCTCTCCATGAAATTTCTAATGAAAATATTACCAATGAGCTCTCCATTGTTAAATCCAAAGGACAAGGCTCTATATGCATATTAGACCATCTATCGAAAGCATTTAACATAGTTGATGTCAAATCCACTGCCTGGAAACTCCTTCTTCCAGGATGCCACACTCTCCTGGTTTTCCTTTCCCCATTCTGGTCTCCCCCTTAGCCTCCTTTGCTATTTTCTCTTTCTACCCAAACTCTTAAACATTGGAAAGCCTCAAACCTAAGACCGTTTCTCTGCCCTAAATATTACTCTTTCCTTTGATGATATCATCCTATCTTTGATAGTAAATATTACATAAATATACAATTCCCAAGTATTATATTTTTACTTGACTCTAGCTCAGACTGGACTTCTCAACTCTAGGTTCAAATGTTCAGTTGCTTACCCTGCATTCCACTTGGAAGTCTAATCACAAACACAAACTCTTCAAAACCAAAATCCTAACTTTTCTCCTTGATGCATTTATTTCCTTCCTCACTGCTGTCAGTGGCAACCCCATATTTCCAGTTTATCAGGCCCTAAAGCCTAGAGTTGTTCTTAATTTCTCTCTTTCACACCCACATCTATTTCATGTGCAAATCTTATAAGGTAGACCTTCATCTATTATAAAACCCAACCATATCTTACCTAACCCCTGTCACCTTGGTCCAATCCAACATCCACTCTTAACCGAGTTATTAATAACAGCATAAAGGATCACCTCCTGCTTTTACACTTTCTTCTTCTAGGTCTATTTAAAATTTTTAAGTGAATCATGGCTGGGTGTGGTGACTCACGCTTTTAATCCCAACACGTTGGGAGGTGAAACAAATGGAAGCCAAGCTCCAAGCCAGTTTGAGACCAGCCTGGGCAAGATAATGGGACCTCTTCCCTACAAAAAATAAAAAACTTAGCCAGGAATTGTGGTGCACACCTGGAGTCCCAGCTACTCAGGAGGCTGAGGCAGGAGGATAGCTTGAGCCCAGGAGTTTGAGGCTGCAATGAACCATGATTATGCAACTGCACTCCAGCTGCATGACAGAGTGAGGCATGTCTAAAATATAAATAAATAAACCAGAAGAAACTCCTGTCTTATTTTTCTTGTTTAAAATGAGTCATATTATGTCATTTCACTGCTTAAAACCTCTGATGACTTTTCCTATCATCCAAAATGACAGTCGAGGTCTTTAGAATGGTCTATAGGACCTGCATTATCTACTCTCCCCTTTTCTCCTCAAAATCATTCCTGTTACTTTCCTTCTCTCTAACTCTGCTCTAGCCACATAGACCATGTTGCAGTTCCATGTATCTGGGCCATGCTCTGGCCTCAGGGTCTTGGCACTTGGCTACTCTGGCTGAAATGGCTTTCCTTCAGATATCCTCATGGCTGGCCCCTTCACCTTGTTTGGTTTTGGTTCTACACCAGCTTCTCAGAGAATTCATCCTTAACCATGTAAGGTGGAATTACAGCTCCCACTCTGGACTCATATGTACCTGCCTCCTTTACTTTTCCCCATAGCACTCATTTCCATCTAGCATGATGTACGTAATTTTCTTGCTTATCTTTCTCTCCACTATGATGTAAGCTCTGACCACCTCAGTACCCAGTGGAGGGTCAAGTACATGGTGAGTGCTCAAAATATGTTCGAAGAGGAAATCTATGCACTCCCGTACCCCACACACATACAGTTACACCAACAGATATTTCAGAGTGTTTTACATTTAATAGATGCTTAACAAATGGTAGTTGGCTTGTAAATAATTCCATCTAGAGACTATATTATACATAGTGTATTTACCGCATTGCATGCAAACTGACTGTGAGATGAACAATGTAGCAGATCAGAATCCAGGAATAGCTACAAATTTTTTGTTTGTTTGAGATGGAGTTTGGCTTTGTCACCCATGCTGGAGTACAGTGGCCCGATCTCAGCTCACTGCAGCCTCCACCTCCTGGGTTCAAGCTATTCTCCTACCTAAGCCTCCTGAGTAACTGGGATTGCAGTTTCATGCCACCACACCCAGCTAATTTTTGTATTTTTAGTAGAAATGGGGTTTCACCATGTTGGCCAGGTTGGTCTCGAACTGACCTCAAGTGATCTGCCTGCCTCGGCCTCCCAAAGTGCTGGGATTACAGGCGTGAGTCACCACACCAGGCTGGCTACAGTTTTTATTCCTTAGGTTTACACATATTAAAAAATACTGAAAATTGCATGGGTTGTATATATCTTTCAAAAATAATAAGTTATGTAACATAAATAATAAATTACATAAAACTGTGAAATGTACTTGTGTTTATCTTGATTTCATATATTTTGGTAAACTTTTTGTTTAATTTCATTAAGAAATAGTTTAATCATCATTGCACACCATTTCAGAGTAAAATTAGGAAAACGTCTACTACAAATGGGTTTTCTGAGGGCTTGCCAAGGATTTGCAGGCAGTGGGTAACCATTCTTTCTTACCATATTTTCAAAGGAGTTTTTACTATTGCATAAATCTATAGCAGTCAATTAAATTAAAATATGGAGAAGGGTTGAATGCCTAATTACATGTTAAAATTGAAGTCTGGAAAGAGATTACATAAAGTAGTAAATAAAAGCATCACATCTGTTCAAAATAATGTTTCTAGTTTTTCCCCAGAATCACTGCGCACTTTTACTCTAAAGAAGCATAGGTTTGGCCGGGTGCGGTGGTTTATGCCTGTAATCCCAGCACTTTGGGAGGCCGAGACGGGCGGATCACGAGGTCAGGAGTTTGAGACCAGCCTGGCCCACATAGTGAAAGTCTGTCTTTACTAAAAATACAAAAAATTAGCTGGGCGTGGTGGCAGGCACCTGTAATTCCAGCTACTTGGGAAGCTAAGGCAGGAGAATCGCTTGAACCCAGGAGGCAGAGGTTGCAGTGAGCCGAGATCGCGCCACTGCACTTCAGCCTGGGCAACAGTGCAAGACTCCGTCTCAAAAAAAAAAAAAAGAAGAAGCATAGGTCTCTCTACGGCCTATCTTTCCTAGAACTTCCTTCTTTAGGTTCTGCTCTCTGTTGATATATTAGTCTGTATAAACATGTACATTGATACGTTAAATTACTTCCTATGTTGCTTTTTAAAATATTAGCAGGTGCCTCCTGAGGACTCAAAGATTTAATACACAAGATTGAAAATTAAGAGTATTTTAGGCATATTGTCAGGGAGATTATTGGAAATTCGGTGGGCAAGATAATCTTTCACCCCTCCTCTAATCACTACCCCATATTATACTCTTTTTAATAAAACATGAAAGTGTCTTCATGTTTAGCTGCAGGAGACAAATAACTTTCAGGAGTCCACCAGAGGGTGTTCATTCATTTGTTCATTTCAACTAATACTTAAAAGTTCTGTGGTTAAAGTGCTTTAGAGACCACAAAGTATTTTCATATTCTTCTTACTTAACCCTCACAACCCTCAAATTTGCAAGGATAAACATCTTGCATTAACAAATGGGAAAACTGAGACTCTCCTAAAAGTTTAAGGGATTGAGCAAAATCACACAGTTAGTTGACAGAATCATTGATACCCAAACCTATATATTCTAATGCTAAAAGTATTAGTTTCCCACAATACTTTAACTCAGCATTTCTAATATGCTAAATGTAATCGAGTCTTAAAGATGCGTAGCCATGGTTCCTACACTCCAACTACTTACAGGAGGGTGAAAATCTGTAACACATAAAAGAGCCTAACTTTTAAGAATTACAGTCAACATGATGTTGAATAACATAAAAATGTAAAGATCTTTATAATTAGCATAAATTAAGCGAACTATTGTGATTAGACATATGGAAGAACTTTACCATGTAAATGTAACTTAAAAGTCAAAAATTAGTAGAGTGACTTTCTTAAGCATATGAAATCTGCCCTTGAAAACCATAAAGAGAAAAATCTAGAACTCATCCTGGGATGAGAGTGACATGCACTTCATGGAGTCAAAAAACCTTCTAGGAAGTTTAGAGAAATCTAGTGTTTCACAATTCCAGGTGTCTTATTAACTTACCATAATTCCCTTCGGCAAATCACTTGGCAGTCAGGGTCACTGGCTCTTGAAGCTTGCAGACCAACACTGCCTGAGAAAAAGGGGTGGGAAGAAGACAACATTAAGCAACTCATCCTTGCTATTAGCCCTGCTCTGGTCCCTTGTCTATTGGCCAGTAAGAAAACAATTTCCCTATTCTTCATCCTTTTTGGATACCTATGATAGAATTGAGTCTATACTTTCATTTCCTGTAAGGCTTGAGATGAGCCTGGCTTATATCTGTCCTTTCAGAAACTGGAGTCCTCTTTCTGAACTCCAGGTAGACACTGAGATCCCATTCTCAGCTTTCACTGTTTCTGAAAACTGCTGCTTATGTGCCTTTTTCTTTACCTGAGGAATGCCTAAAGAAGTTTTAGCACAGATCCTGGCACATAGTAGGTATTCAATATTGATTGAAAATTGGTATACAACAAGAAAATATAACAAGGTCTTGGCCTCCAATGCAACTTAGAGTCTAGAAGAGAAAGATAAAAATATAAATACTAAGTGTTACAGATGCTATAATGAAAGAAATAGACTGCAAACCTGTCATTAATAATTTTTTTCTATGAGAGGGATCAAAAAGACTTCTTGGGGGAGTTGAGAAGAATGAGTAAGATTAAATGAAAAGAATAGGTTTTGCCAAGAATAGTGGGAAGACAGGCAGATATTTTCCAAAGACAGTGAGTAAAGTCATTTGTATAAGGAGAATGTACACATTGAAGCATGGTAAAAGATAAGCCTGGAAATCTGAGTAGACCATGAATAGGTCAGAAATTTACTTTTTTAGGCATTAAAAGTATCTGGAGTGTTTTGAGCAGGTAAGTGATCTAATTAGAGTACTATCTTAGAGTTGTTCCCAGGGTGGCAGTTAACAGGACATTTTTTCAATGAAAAAAAATTGAAAGGAGGAAATTAGTTAGGAAACAATTTATTTACCCCAGCAATAAGTGATTAAAGTATGATATAAGTTAATAGCCATAGAATTTAAAAAAAGGAACTAAATTTTGGCAAATTATGTGGGATTAACTTTCACTTCTTACAATACCATAAAATTTCAGTAAAAGAATTTTAAAAATGCATAAAATTACATAAGAAAAACAAGAAGTGGGAACAAAAAAAACTGAGATGCAAAAAAAAACAGGAAGATATCCAGCAGAAAATTAAGGCCAGAGGAAGAAGAAAGATAGTGTCTGCAAGGTGCAAGAGTGGAGAGTCAAGACACTAGTCACTTCATGCCCTGGAATCCAGGGAGGCCTACAAGTTAGAGGCATCATGTTCCTCTGACGGCTGAGGTGTAGTTAGGCAGACAACGTGAAGATTGGTTGCAACTCTCCAAAAGCATTTAGACCTTTGCATATCCTAAAATTCTCTATGAGAAGAGATCAGGTCTAAAATTTTCCCCACTTAACAGAAGAACGAGGTTCAGGTTTTACTCTCTGGAGACTCTTTGAACCCAGAGACACCAAACACAGTCAAGACTCTGCATGAAGGTCTACACATTGAACAGTGAGACCCATATTATACTCTTCCACTTTTCCATCACATAAGCAACCAGCTTCCCTCACAGGAAGAAGGCTGGAGGGTTCATCTCTTTGGAACCACTGGCTTAAGGAAAAACTCTTGACATTTGGGGAAAGAGTATCCTTGAGAAAACAACTGTGTTTCTATCTAATTATCCTACAGAAAAGCACACTGCTCAACAAGCCCTGAAATTAACACAAAGCTTCTAATATATTTATAGGGTTTTACTCTTAAATGGCAAATAACAGCCAAGGATGAGGAAAGTCATATCACTAACTCAAACACAGAAGCCCAACAAAGAGAACGAGCAACGCAGAAGACCTGAGGCAAGGCAGGAACTAGGAGAAAGAATGCAAAGAAACTCTATAATCAATCGCCTTAAAGAGATACAAGTCGCCTTAAAGAGATAAAAATTTACGGATAATATATCCATAAATTAGAATATTTAGACTATTATTTTAAAATGACGGAGGAGCATTCAAACAATAAAAGCTCCTAGAAAATAAAATATGATTAAAATAAAGATGACAGACTCTTCCAGAAAGCATAGCAAAAATACAAAATGAAAAATAGGTAAGACTAGATAAAATTTTAGAGGTTTGTTACTAAAGTTCAAACAGTCAAATAAGAGCCTCAGAAAAAGACAAAGAAGAAAATGAAAGGAAATAAACTATACAGAAAGAAACAAAAAAACATCTAGGATCGAAATGTCTGGATTTACACATGGAAAGGGCGGATTAGTATCTACCACAATGAATGAAAAGATAATTCATAGCAAAGCACAGTACTGTAAAATTTCAGGGAATTGAGATACAGAGAAAAACAGGCAATTGGAAGCAGAAAGAAAATTGAATTTCATGCCTTCAACATTTTGTGAATAATAATTTTCAACATAGAATTCTGAACCCAGACAAACTACCAATCAAATGAGAAGGTAGAAACAAACATTTTTAATTTTTCACATACACAAGTTCTAAACAAAATTACCTCTCATATACTTCTGCTCAAGAAATTACAAGAAGATAATCCTTATTAAGAATCAAAGAATAGGCCAGGCATGATGGCTCATGCCTGTAATCCCAGCACTTTGGGAGGCCGAGGCGGGTGGATCACGAGGTCAGGAGTTCGTGACCCGCCTGACCAACATGGTGAAACCCCATCTCTACTAAAAACACAAAAATTACCCAGGCGTGGTGGCATGTGCCTGTAATCCCAGCTACTCAGTAGGCTGAGGCAGGAGAATCACTTGAACCCAGGAGGCAGAGGTTGCTGTGAGCCAAGATTGTGCCACTGCACTCCAGCCTGGGCGACAGAGTGAGACTCTCTGTCTCAAAAAAAAGAAAGAAAGAAAAAAAGAAAGAAAGAAAAAGAAAGAAAGGTTTTGAACTCAGTAATCTCTACCTTTCTTCCATCTTGTTTGAGACAAATTTACGCTTGTGTTGGTATTAACCGTGGAACAACCAAGTGACTTATATGCAGGAGACTGCTGGAAATGTCGAACCCAAGTTGAGACAAGCAGTCAGTGCTGGAGAGGCTGACTGTAGAGGTATCTACAAGGAGATATGCACACAGCTGGAGAGAGTAAGATCTCCAAAGCACAACACATAGAGACAGAAATGGAAAGTTAGGACTAAACTTCAGGCAATGCCCACCTTAGGGGAAAACTAGAATAGTGAATGTGTGAGTTTAAAAATACCTGTATAACAGGACAGATAGCTATTCATACATTTGGCTTTGGAAGAGTATGAAGGGTTTGATTGTCTTATGAATTCAAAAATCACCTTTGAATTTAAACAATTAGGAAATTTTGATAGTAAAGCAAATTAAAATAAAATATTTGGAATTCTAAGGAGTTATACAAAAGATAAGCTTTTATCCCCCTTTCCCTAAAATAACTATAGTTATCATGTTACAGATGTTACCATTTAGGGCATCTATGTGAATAAAGATGGGATTTTTATTTTTCACCTTTAGAAAAGTGGCAGTGATTGAAATCTCGCCTGAAACCATGAATTTTTCATAATAGCCAGGTGGCTATTCAGCCAAGCACTCTAACTCTATAAGCCCCAGCTGCGATCCAAGCAAGGTTAAATGAAAATAATACTTGACAATATTTCACCAAGCCGTATCATTCATGCACATGCCACATCCTTTAATTTATTTTTCATGCATAATTATTCATCCATACAGAAAAAACAAATCAGTAAACACACGAAATACAAATCCAGTTTTCATTTACAAGTAGTAAAACCCCTTCTGAATTTTGTTGTTCTTCGCTTTTGCATACTAACCACTATTTTATAGTAATAAATTCTGTATTCCAAATGGTTAAAAGCATTATAATTTACAGGATAAATCCTGTATTCTATATGGTTGAAAGTTGAAAACATACAGGTTATTATATAACTTGTATATTTTCTATTTTTAATGGCAACAAGAGGACATACAATTTTACACAAACACCTGTAAGTGTATGTATACATGCACACACTTTTTAAAGCATTTCTCAACTTTAGGCCATATGATGCATTCCTAATTTTGTATTATCATTTATATCAAACTTATTAACAACTTAGTAAAAATAGTTGCATTTATTTTAATTTATATTTTTTCATTACTTTCTTGGGTAGTTATTATACCCAACATGGCATTAGTTGGCTTAAAGATGTGAAATTTACATGATTTCATCAAGTATTGTGTTTTCCCCATCCAAAATATTCTGTCAAATCACACTTTCAGCACTACTATTTTAATAACTTGGAATAGTGTTTCTCTCTTCAACTATTTCATCCATCATGGTGAGTAATCCAACCAACTTATTTCTTGAGACCAGTGGGTTAACCTTGAGGCAAGGTTAGTATTTTTACCTAAACATTAGAAATCTTTAAATATTTGTTTCTCATAAATATTTAATTCAGCACAATAATTACAATATTAATTAGACGTAGACTACGTAGATTTCAACAGGAGAAATGTAGTAATGTGAGTCACTAGGGGGCAGCAAAGATCAGAGAAAAGGCATGAATTCAAATGCTGATTCTTAATCCAAGTTAATAAAAACATTGAGCGTTCTAGAGATACCAAAGGGCCAGCGCTTTCCCTAAATGTTTCTCTGAATCTTATAGTCTTATCTATACATCATCTTGGAACAAAAACCTGCACTATTCTGCCACCTTTTAGAAAATTGACTGCCACTTCAATTTTTATCAGCAAACAATGAACATTTTAAGGCTTTCTCAAAAATGAAAACTGCGTAACTTCCTGACAATTACGGTAGTTCCAATTTTTTAAGAAAGTTATGAAATAGGTCATTTAGACTTTCTGTGGGATTTCTGCTTCTCCAAAAAGACCAGATGTTTCCTCATGATTTTTGTTTCCCCATCTTGAGCAGTACAAATGAAACAGATTTATAACTTTTTAAATACAGTGTTATTTTCTGAGTCTTTAGGAAACACACAAGTGTTTATAAAGGCAAAAATATTGCATCAATTATACTTTCAATGGCCATTACTACTAATAGAAATTACTTTAAAATATTTTAAAAACCGGTTAATAGGAAAACTCAATCATCTACCTTTTCCTTTTTGAATTCTCAACTTATTATATATACATGTTTACAAGTTTATTAAATGAACATCCATTATTTTAATATCAGAAGGGAGTCTAAACTTATTTTTAAAAGTTACTTATGAGCAATATATCCTACTTTTGCTGGGCCTTTTAAAATTCATAATAAAATGCATTGAAAGTCCTGATTCTGTTAGCATTCGTTCTGGTGGGTTTCCGGATCTAAGGAAACATCAAATTTTACAGGGGTTATTTGGAAATAAAACCCACAGAGCAACACAATACTAGAGTTGTGAACTAACAAAATAAAAGAGTTTGTTTATCATGTCACTGTTCTAATATTGACCTTGACCATGTGATGTTGACTTTATTTATTGCCTATTGAACATTCTTGCAAGATTATAGTTTGTTTCCTTGGAGCTTAGAAATTAAAGGAGAAACAAAGGGTACTTATTAAACAAGAAGATGTGCTTGAAGCTGAGAAGTAGCTGGTCCATTTGGGAATTGATAAAAACATAAAAATGTTAAAGTAAAGACCCCTCCATATCATTACAAGTTTCCCATTTATCTGTAGAAGGAAAAAGATATTGGTTTGAAGTTTTAAGAAGACATAAAATAAAACAGATAAAAAGAAGGTAAAATGCCTGAAAACCCCTCTTTATTATGACTACAAAGCTTTACATTTTAACCTAAATGCTAACGACTTAACCTATAACCAAATAGTTGAATGTTTCTACCAGTGTTCAAATACTTTGAAGTACCTCAAGGTCAATGTATTTAAAGCTAACTCATGGCCTTCTCATCTAAAGCTGCTCATCCTCTTATTTTCTCAGCAAAATGTGGGGATTCCACATCTCATCACTTCACCCAAGTGAAGTAACCAAAAAGCGTCCTTGACTGTATCCTCTCCTGCATGTCCTCAAATCAACTAATTTACCTTATATTTATTTTATAGATATTTCTCAGATCCTTTGTCACTTTACAGACCTATAGTAACTTAACTGAACTCTACCCTGAATCTCTCAAAAGCATTACCTATACTATCAGAACGCTTTCACAGATGCCATTATCTCACTCCATTGTCCAAATACCTGCAATAAGTCTCCATTCATCTATACAATAGAGTCCAAATGTCCTAATATGGCATAAAAATAGCCATTACTATTGCATTTAAAGCAAATTCTTGACAAATATTTGTTGACTCCAAAAGAATCCAATATTCAATATTTCTACATTTAGACAGGGTGTTGGCACAAAACCAGAATATTTTTGGGGTGATATCAAAATATTTAAAGTGAGAAAATTAAATACATGTGTATGTATATATGTAATAGATATTAAAAATACCTTAAACTGCCAGGCATGGTGGCCACGTCTGTAGTCCCAGAACTTTGGGAGGCCTAGACAAGGATCACTTGAGGTCAGGAGTTCGAAACCAGCCTAACCAACATGGTAAAATCCCGTCTCTACTAAAAATAGAAAAATTAGCCAGGCATGGTGGCTTGCACCTGTAGTCCCAGCTACTTGGGAGGCTGAGGCAAGAGGATTGCTTGAACCCAGGAGGTGGAGGTTGCAGTGAGCCAAGATTTAGCTTCTGCACTTCAGCCTGGGTGACAGAGGAAGACTCCACCTCAAAAAAATAAAAAATAAATGTAAATAAAAATACATTAAACTGACATATAAATCTGTTTTTTAATTTCATCATGGCTTTATGTATTTGTCATATATATGTATATATGTGTATGTCTTGTGTATATATCACATACATATATGTATATATGTGTGTCCTGTGTGTGTTCGTATATAAATATATATATTTGTATATATATATTTGTATATATATGTATATATATTTGTATATATATTTATATATATATATACACACACGTCAGTTTAATATATTCTTCAGCTTTAGAGGAAAATCTAGCAAAAACAAGCAAAGTAGGCAGTAGTTAGGACAGAGATTGATGAAACAAATATTGTTTACATTTTTGCCAGAAGCAATGTAGAGAACAATGAAAGTGTTTTGGAGATTTGTAGATTTAAACCCAACAGTATAGGCCAAAGACAGTATTTCAGTTTCTTAATTGCATTCCTTTTTTCTCACATTTCTCTTTCAAAAAACTGAAATCCTTGAGACTTTTGTAAACAAGGAACAGTCATGGCTGGGCATTTCCTCTGAAGAAAAGAGATAAAGCCAAACAAAGGCACTTTGATCTTCTGTTTGTGCTTGGTAAACTACCAGTCTTACGAAAGACCTTTCGTTTGTTCATTCGTCTCCCTCATGTGTCTGAATGCCCATAGAAAATGTTTACAGAGCAAAACAGCTCATTTCTTATTCCAGAAAAATCAAGCTGTTGCAACTGGTGGAGATTAATTAAAACGGCATGAGCGTGGCAAGCCAGGAAAGAGCAAAGCCAAATAAACGAATCTTTCATTACATCTTTAAAAATTATGAAGGAAAGAGATCATCTACTTATCTCTTGGTAGATCCTGAATATATATTCTGAATATATATTTTATATTTATATATGTATATATACATACCTTGCTTGGTTTTCAATTTGTATATGAGTAAATTCTTAATGATAGAGTGGCCTTCCTTTGGCCTAACCATAAAGCACTTTCCATTTCTGCTATTTGATTCATAAAACAAGAAAGAACAACCTTAGTTCTCTCTTTCCATTTGATAATTTGGTACCATATTTACCTATTATGCATCAAACAAATTTCTGATTTGGCTAAATTTTAATAATTCTAAAAGATAATAAAATGAATCCTTAAATATTAAAATACATCAATGTGAAAATCTCAACACTTGGTAAGAAATAGGATAAAAAATTATGATGAGGTACTGGGCTTCCATGGTTACATATAGTTAATAAAAGGAAATCAACACATGAAAAATTAACTAATGCTATAAAATACATTTGTGTTTTATACCTTTGTGGTACCTATGTCATAGTTATCACAAAGCAGAGACAAATTAGGTGATAGAAAGTCAGTTCATATTGAAAATTACTATTAAAATCTTGAGTTCATACTCAAACCATACATCACTTTTGTCTTTCTCCTGTGTTTCATTCATTCCATACAATGGTAAATGATTTTAGGACTTGATCATGTTTATTTGCATATAAAATAATATCATTTTGCCTTTCTACTATTGAACATGAGATGACTGCTCTCACTTTTCTTAGTGGGTGCTACCTAACTAGACACATTAAGAATTTTTAAATCTTTCTGTTTCCATAGTATATTATTTTTAAAATTTTTATCCCTAAATCTCAGTATCAAAGAATCTGGCTTCATATGAGATGATTTGGGCGGGGGGGAGTTCAGGAAACCAGGCCTTGCTCTGGAGTAGACGCCGACAGGAAGCAAGGGCAAGTCTATGATTGTTTATCTTAATAAATCTCATCTGGAAGGAGGGAAGACTGGAGTCAGAATAGAGTTGTCAGTGGGAAAGAGCGGCAGGCACTCGTGTTTGCCAGGTTAGGGGGCTGCTTGGTATTTTGTGGCTGGAGCAGTGTTTATGTTTTGTCTGTGTTCAGACCTGGTTATGAGTGGTCTTATTTTTGTCTTAATTTATCTTGTTCACAGAGTGACCTTGTCTGATGTTGATGTTCTGTGAAATTGTTTATGATCAAAAGAAATACACAAGGCCTAACTGCAAGTACCAGGCCAGCTCCTCATACCAGTCCAGCTGATAGGACCAGGCCAGTCCCACATGTCAAGGGCTGCTTTTCTCTTACCCAGTTTCCCCTCTGGGTCAAGGGCAAACATAGTTAAGGCCACAAGACATTAATCCATAATATTTATATTTTTACCATCAGTTAAGATTTTGCTGCTAAGAAGAGTTTTTTTAGAGAACATAGTCTGTAGTTGAATTAAAATTAGTCACATGGTCTTTCATTGCAGGATGAATTATTGAATGTGCTGGCATGATCATTGCTAAACAGAAACTCAGAATGGCCTACATCTGCCAAATGCAATGTAAGCAATTATCAGATGCAAAATGATTATTAGTCCTTGACACAAGTCTTGAAGCGAGGATTCTAGATCATAAAATCTAGGCAATAAATCCTTTTGTGTTTGTTTTAGAAGGTCAGGTCTCTATTTCATTTTATCTTCTTCATGTGTTTATGTATTTGTCTTGTAGTCCATAAGTGCAGCAAGAAGTATTTACTGTAATATAAATTTTCTCTTGGTTAATTATAAGGAAAGCAGGAGCATTGCAAATTTTTCCTAACCCTAGCTAATGAATTGAGACTAGTTTGTTGGGCATTCAGAGTATAAGTTATATTATTTATGGCTTTTGCTGGGGTCAAAGTAAAGCTTTGCACCATTTTGCCAGTTGTATTATTCCAAATGTGAAAATTATAGCTCAGATAATGAGGGAGTCAGTTATCCCTTCCAAAAGTTTCTTTAAAAACCATATATGTACCTCCTTTTGAAGGGTGATAAACAACTTTTCATCCAGGGCTATATGAACCGCTAGTGGGAGGTTAGTTTTAAATATCTGAAAGTCTCTCATGATTATCTCATGAAATAGAACATGTAAGTTAATATGTAGCAAGCTGAAAGGCATCACCTAGGGAGACTGTAGCTAGAGAAGACAAAAGGACCCAAAGGCATTTCAATATTTAAGTTAGATAAGGAGGAAGGGACAGCAAAGTAGGTAGAGGAAAAGTCCCTGGTGAATTAGGTAAAAAAACAAATAAATCAGGAGGATACAGTGCCCAAGAAACCACAGGAGGAAAGATTCTCAAGGAAGATAGATTGAGTGTAGGGTCAAATGCTGCTCCAAATCAAAATAAGGAAGAATACAGAAGAGGTCACTGGGTTCTGCAAAAGAAAAATCACTGGTCCCCTTAACAACAAACATTTCAGTGGACTTGGGGTGACAAGAGCTACTCTTGAGTGACTGCAACAATAAGCAGCTAAAAAATGTAATTTTTTAAAACTCTGGGTAGCATTAAATTACAAATAAATCTAATAAGAACTCCAGGAAGTCTAGACTCATAAAATAATAATAAAACTACCTAAGTTTTAAAAGAGTAAACAGTTTAAATTTTTTATTGTGCTTTGATGAAATGACTCATTATAAATATATCTATTACCCTAAGATAATTTATTCATTTAACTCAATACAAATGAATTTATTCCAGAGTTTTTCATAAAACTTTGTTGTTGTTGTTGTTGTTGTTGTTATTTTTATTTTAATTTCAGGGGATATACGTATGGGTTTGTTACATGGATATGTTACATGATACTGGAGGTTGGGCTCCTACTGAACCCGTTACCCAAACAGAGAACACAATACCCAATAGGTAATTTTCAATCCTTGCCACCTTCCCTCCCTCCCTCCTTTTGGAGTCCCCAGTGTCTATTATTTCCATCTTTGTGTCCGCATGTACCCGGTGTTTAGCTCCCACTTATAAGTGAAAACATGTGGTATTTGATTATCTGTTCCTGCTCAAATTCACTTAGGATAATGGCCTGTAGCTGCAGCCATGTTGCTGCAAAGGACATAATTTTATTTTTTTAATGGCTGCATAGTATTCTATTATGTATGTGTACCACAATTTCTTTATCCAGTCCACTGTTGATAGGCACCTAGGATGTTCCATGATTTTGCTATTGTGAGTAGTGCTGTGGTGAACATACGAGCGCTGGTGTCTTTTTGGTAAAACAATTTCTTTTCCTTCAGGTAGATACCCAGTAAGGGAATTGCTGAGTTGAATGGTGGTCTTATTTTTAGTTCTTTGATAAATCTCCAAACTGCTTTCCAAAGGGGCTGAACTAATTTATCTTTCCACCAACAGTGAATAAGCATTCACTTTTCTCCACATCCTAGTCAGTATCTGTTGATTTTTAACTTTTAATAATAACCATTCTGACTGGTGTGAGATGGTATATCATTGTGGTTTTGATTTGTATTTCTCTCATGATTAGGAATGTTATGAATTGATTCTAAAGTCTACAAAGAAAAAATAAACGTGTAATAATATCCAAGAAAATATGAAGCAGAAGAATAATAAGCAAAGGCTAGCTATACAAGAAAAAAAAATGTTCTAAAACAATAGGAAATACTAGCACTGGCCACAAATAGTCAATATAACCAAAAAGTCAGATATAGTCTTAAATATATATGGGTTGTTAGTTACTGGTGAAAGTGGCATTCTAAATCCATGGGTATTGAGAGGCAGACAGGGGGAGGTGTGTGGATCAAATAATTCTGGAATAATTGGGTAGCATCTAGGGAAAACGAATGAGCTAGATTCTCTCTCTTGCTTCTTAAATACATTTCAGAAGGACCAATGTTTTCAAAGTGTAAAAACCGAACTATAAAATTGAAAGGAAATGAAAGAAAAACATTGGCAAACCTTCTCATATACTTGATAGTGTAAGGTATTTATAAGCATGATGTAAAAACTTTCAAAACATGGTGCAAAACTATTTAAAAATGTATAAATTTGAGTCCATCAAAATTAAGTTTTAAACTTAATAAATTTAAGAAAAAGAAAAAAATTTACAAACTTACTAGCTTAAATATTTTAGTAATCCAGCTGCTGAAATGTTTATTTTCTTAACATATATATATACATTGCCCATACAAACTAATGAGAAAATTATAAACAAACCAATGTAAAAAAAATGGGCAAAGACATGAATTCAGAAATAAAAAGAAACGCAAAGCCTTTTAAAATTTGAAAATATGATCAGCCTCAGTCATAATAAAATGAATGTAAATTATAATTGCATTTGGATATCAAGTTTTCAAATACTGCATTTGGCAAAAAGCAAAATTCTCTTACTACACTGTATTAGTGAAGGTGTGGAGAATCAAGCACTCTTATACAGTACTGGTATAAATTTAAGTTAGTAAAACATCTGGAAGGCAATTTTCCAACATTTACCAAAATTATAAATAAACATATCCTTTGGATTCAATAATCCCACTTTTAAGAGTGTATCCCATAAATACATGGCATAAAAATATAATTACAAAGATTTTCCCAGCCGTATTTTCTGTGTTAGCAAGAGATTGCAAGCATTATAAATCTTCATTGTAGGGAACTGTGTAAATACATTTATGTGACAGCAAGCCCAGAAGTGGTTAAAAGGAATGAGACATACCTGTGTACACTTCATGAAAGATCTCCTTGATAAGTGGAAAAGCAAAGCATACTTTAATCTATGCAAAAAAAAATCACTTCAACTTGGAGAAATCTTAGTATTGGGGATTGATGATAGAAGGGTGCTAACATTCTGTACTGCTCAAATTTTTTAAGACAGTCATATATTGCCTTCTCAAAAAACTACATTAAAATTATTTAAGTAGGACAAAAAGTGAATGCAAAGGAATAAAATGAAGGCGACGAGTGAGGACAATTATATGTCCTGTTGCTGAGAAGGATGCAGAGAAATTAATGCGTGATCAAAATTTTGTTATTTTTGTTGGGACTGTCCGTTGCTCTTTATAGAGAAAAAGTTCGAAGACACCCTGAGAGTCTGACTACGCATCAGTCAGATTGAACCAATCTGAGAGAGAGAGATGTGATTCAAATGGAGGCAGGTAAAGAAGTCTTCAGAAGCCCCAAGGAATAAAATTCAGGTGAACAGAAAGGTTCACCTGTGATTAGCGCAGGGGCGCTTCCATTTTAACAAGCAGAATGAAGAAAGTTGTTAGATTTCTTTTGTGTGAAAGTGACCAATCTTCGGTGGAGGACTTGGCCTTGTTGGAGAACAGGCACGTCTTCCATGTTAACAAGTAGACTACAGCATTATGGATACAAACGTAGCTAAGTTTTTATAATTTTAGGTAAGTAGAGGATGTTCTGATATCCTGCATCTAATTAACCCATGAATTATAACACTAAATAATCTTCTGAGAGCAAGGCTTGCGAAAGATAGCGGAAGAACTTGGGGACAAGAACATGAAGGATAACACAGTCATCTCAGACAATCGGAAAATGAGTAGGAGTGTCAGACAGGGCGGAGGGTGTTTTGAAGCTTGTGGTTAACAAATTAAAGTGAAATCAGTTGGACTTTTCCCCGTTAAGCTATTGGGTTGCAAGCATGGTATAGGTGGGTAGCTGGGTTAATTGAGGCTCAGATATTGACAATTGTTACAAGGGGTTCAGATAACAAAGGAGATGAATCTGTTTGCAAGGGAGTGATTATGATGGTTCATCTTGGAATTTAGAGAAGGCTAAAAGGTAAATGAAGATAGGAGGTGGGAGGGGGTTGGTGAAAAGTAATGTGGTAGGAAAAATGTATTGAAGACCTGTGTTAATTCAAACCACGATCATCCTAGGGATTAGTAGAGAAACTGAGCCAAAAGGATAAAAAGTAGGGCTAAGAGGAATATGCGAAATAAAAAATTTGGTGAAAGACTACAAAGTAGAAACACAAAAGTGGGTGCATGGTGTGGAATAGGGGAAAAGACTGCAATCAAAAAAGAGCTTTTCCATCCTCATTTTCTGAGAGCTGTGACACATAGTCAAACGATTAATTTTATTAAATATATTTTAGCCTCTTTTAAAATAAGCTTTTTTAATTATTGGACATATAATTTGTGTTACATCATATATTTTCTAATATTTAACCGTTGTTTCACAGAATAAAACTACTTGAAAATAGTGATTATTTTCTCAATAATCAGTTTTATTTTGAATGTTTATGTTTACAATTATATAAGTGATGAGACTTTCAAAACTATACTGCCTTCAAAAACCTAATTAGATCACTTTCCATCCTTTTCGATACTCTTGGCCACACAATTTGGCATGGAAATGTTAAATCCATTCCTTGTAAATCTGTAATAAGTCATCTGTTTTTGTTTAGAGTTTTATGTGGAAATAATTTTTCAAAATGTATTTTTTACTTTCTATTCTTGATATATTTTAGAAGTTTATTATCTTCTACAAAACAATTATTTCATAGAAATGTTTAAATGTATTAGCATTGAGTATACAATAGTCTCATAATTTTAATATCCTACTTAAACATTGTTACATTCCTTTTCTCTCTTGAAAAATTTTTATCTCGTTATTATAGTTTCCACAAGTTTAGCTTTACTATTTTTCCCCAAAGAATCAACTCTCATGGTTTCCCTTGCAGTTCAACTGTTTTTTTGTTGTTCTCTAATTTCCTTACTTTAATTCCTTCCTTCCTGTTTCTTTTATTCCTCTCTTCTGTGTGTGTGTGTGTATGTGTGTGTGTGTCCTTTTAATTTTTTCTGGACCATTCTAAGTTGAAGGTTTAGTTTGCTTTTTTTGTGTTGTTGTTTAACCATGTAATCACATTCGAATTTAGCTTTGAACCACTTATATTAGTTTTAATATAGGGTTCTCATTTTTATTGTTCTAATAGTCTACAGTTATAAATTTTAATCACTTTTTTATCTCACATATCATTTAGATGACAATTTGGAATTTTTGTTTACTGCTTTTGCTTTACAAACTTGGTTCCCTCTTTGAATTTTGTCTTACATAACAGCAGAGTTTCATTTTTATGTGTGTGTTAAAACAATCTATCATTTGCAATGACATAGATGAACCTAGAGAACATTATGTGAACTGAAATAAGCCAGGCACAGAAAGGCAAATACTGCATTATCTCACTTTTGTGTGGAATCTAAATAAGGTGAACTCTTAGAAGCAGAAGTAGAATGGTGGTTACCAGGGGCTGTGTGGTGGTGAAGGGTCGGGGCAATGTAGGGGTTGAGATTGCAGAGATGTTGGTGAAAGGATACAAAATTTCAGATAGATAGAAGAAATAAGTTCAAGAGACTGTGACTATAGTTAGTGGCAATACACTGTATACTTGAATATTGCTAAGAGAGTATATTTCAAGTGTTCTTTCTCACCACATAAAAATGATAAGTAGCTGAGGTAATACATATGTTAATTAATTTAATTTACCCATTTCACAATGTGTATATATTTCAAAACATCATATTGTATATCATAAGTATATAAATTTTTATTTTGTCAATTAAAAAACACTGAGCTGAAAGTCTTACGGGAGGAGTCTGAGAGTGATTTCAAGTCCCTTGATATACTTGACACTGAAATATCTCACTCACTATCCGAGTTCATGGGCAGTCTCTAACTAGCAGTTTACCTTTTCTTCTAATTGTGCTTCACTATGGTTGATGTTTGTGTGTGTTGTTGGCTTTTTTTTTTTAACAAAAAGCTACTCAAAGAAATCAAAAGACTCTGGGAGTTAGTAACTTCTAATACCTTAGGCAGAAAGATCAAACGATAAATACTATTATCACTGAGGCAGGCATTATCTTCCCAAAGGGATTTAAAATCTATGTGGCAATGACAATAATTGTTATGCATATGTGCTGATGGTCTGAGAACAAAACAATACTACCAATATCTATATAATGCTTTGAGTTTTATAATTGATATTTGGCAAGTGCCAATTTTATGGCTGAAATTCCTAGGCCCATCATGACATGATTTGTTATTAAATGTCTGTAATTATAGAGTCTAATCATGAGAAAATAGCTCACTATACCCACAAGGAATAGCTGATAGAAAGACATTACACAACTTCATGCTAGCTTCCTGAGAAGCTGCAATACAAACCACAAAACCTGAATTTCCCTGGGGTTCTCTGTTTAGGTGTTGGCTCTGGTGAAATGAACACTCAAGAATTGATCTGAAAAGAACAATTCTAAAAAGTAGAAGTAATGGTAGAATAACAAATTTATATGTGATACATGTGTTTCTTATTAGGAAACATTTGAAAGTGTTATTGATAAATAACAAAATTGGAATGTTCCAAAATGTTAAAGCACCTAAAATAGTGTACTTATACAGGTATTCTATGATAAACTTGGATAAACTGTCAAACTCTTTTTTCTAAGAACAGATTACTTTTTACTCACTTTCTGTCTTTATAGTTGTTTTATTCTCAAATAAAATAACTCACTGTTATGTTTGGTTATTATTCCCAATTTATTCTTTCTTTTCAAAAAACCAACTTCTCATTTATTTTTTCAGAATCATGTGCTATCAAAAATGCATTAAAAATTGTCAAAGCTTTTAAATATGCAACTTTTCTTTGAAAGTATTAGTTTATATACTAGTCTAGTGAAGTCATAAAAAGACTTACCCCAGTATTTTAACTACATTTTTACTGCTGTTTCTCCCCCTCCTTTATCATCACTTCTTCCTTTGCACTAAGCATTGGTATATTCCAGAATTCTAGCCTGGTATCCTTCTCTTTTCATCTGTATTTTCCTGTCTAGGCAAATCCATAATTCTGATTCAATTATTTCTCACCTATCTAACACAGTATCTGACCATCTTTCACAAAATCGACACAACTCAAACAAGCACACTATCTGAAAAACAAGTCAACAAAGAAGATGTGAATCTTAAACACGAACAAAGAAAAACTTGATCCTGTTAACATCCCCCTGGCTCAAGCAAACCCTGGCCTTTTCAGTTGTGTTAGTCTATAAACCCCCTTTGTCATACTCTGGATTGTCTTTTCTCTCACGTGCCATCAGAACATACAAAAGCTAACACTAAGAATGGAACAATGCAAATGACAAACACTAAATTCATAATTGGAAGAATCAAGGAGGGAGGAGGACTCTAACACTTCGTGCTGGGTAACACTTGTAATTTGGTAACGGAGGTTACAAATAGGTAAATTTACACACGTATTAGCTTGGTGTTCAGAAGCTATCCTTACTGAGACAATAGAACTAATCGTCTTGAATTTAAAAAATGTAGAATTGTGGCATATGCTTGCTAGTTCTTATGGTTCACTGTAAGTCTTCTTTTTAAAAAGAAGCTGACATTGAAATCTGTTCCTCTAAGTAAAGACAGGAAGAAAAAAATATATGGCTTTACCAAGAAATACCTTTCTTGCCTGAGACTTTCCATTCGAGGTCACAGAAAAATTTGAAAGTTCAGACAGCTGGATTCTCTCCTCCAAACTAAAGTTATTGCCAGCAAAAGCAGGGAAGTAGGAGCAATCACAGGAGGTAATATTAAAACCAGAGAGAAGCCATCCTCCTCAGGATTCTTCGAAAAGCTCCTCTTTTAAACTACACTTAGAGGGATGGTCACCTCAGTATAAAGATCCCACATCAGCCCCAGTCCTTATGTTAAATGGCCCAAGGCAGGGGCAAGATGCAGATTCTCAGGGTAAGGAAGATAGGCAGAGCAATGTGTCAGGCGGGTATTAATTAAGAAAAACATGGGGCCTAGTTCTCATACAAAGACCAGCTTGAGGAGATTTCTGGCCTTTGGCACTGGCCCATGGAATTGTCTAGAGGACAGATTGAAAGTCCACTTAAGTTTTAATGGAATTGTCCTATCAACACTGGAATAAAACAGGCTGCAAGTACAACCACTAAAGCATATCCCAAATTCCTAATCGGATAGCAAGGGAAACAGATGGGGGATACCCAACACACACATCTCACACATGACCACTGAGGACAAAAATAAGGAAAACTATAGAGTAAAATACAACTAGGGTGACTAATTCAGGTCTGCTGACAAAAGAACTTACAGTGTCAGGGAAAATGGAGCAAATAATCCTTGCTATTCTTTTTGAGCCAGATAGGCCACCGTGTTTTGTTTCCCATTCTTTCCATCCAATGGAAGTTTTGTGGTACATATTTGTATTTTCTATCAATGTGTTTTGCATATGACAAAGATAAACTCTCTACTTGTTTGATGATGCTTGATGACCATGAGGAACTACACCCAGACCTGATGAGAAGGAATTAATATTGACCAGAGGCCATAGACTTGGAGTGAATGTAGTAACTGGGAAAAAGGAATTTAAGAATAAGGTTCTGTTTGTACTTTTGCTAGCCTAAGGGATGGATTATAGTTTTTTTTTTTAATTTGCCAGGACCCATGCCCCCTATATTATTCAAATGTAGCTCTATTCTCAACTTCAATGGTAAAGTAGCACCATACACCTGGCCAAATGGTGCAGAGCAGCATTGGATCAGGAATGGGCAAGTGACCAAACTGATTCAATGAGAAGAAATTACAGGTCAAACATGGAAGGGACCTGGTTCAGGATACAAGGCAAAGGCCCATTTTATGATGAGGAGAGTCTGTAGCTGAATATGAACCCAACAGAGGGGAAGCAGAGCTCAACGATGAAGAGAAAGAAACTGAGTCTTACTAATTGCATCAGACCCTGAATTGAGAGACTGAAAGCTTACATTTATCTAACTCTGGATTTTTCAGTAACATAAGCTAATTAATTATCTTTTTAGTTAGACACGCTTGAGATTGAATTTGCATTCACTTTGAACAGGAAAATAAAATCCCAACTAACTTTCTGAATTTATTTCTCCCTCCCCCTTGCACAATTTTATACCATAGCCACACCAAGCATAACCAATATTTTCACCTTTTAGAGACTTGGTTCTTATTAGGCTTCTGACTGGATGTTTATTTCTCTTCCCTCCCTGGAAAACTTCTATTTACCCACTAAAGCTCAGCTATCTGTTTTCTTCCTTTGTAAAGACCTCTCCAAACTTCTAAACAGATTCATATGTTTCCAAAGTCATCATCATTTCTAAGACTACAACAAAAACATGTGATCTGCTGTGTATGTCTCTCACATATGATACAGAGGTTTCGTCAATCAGCGATGGGGTTTTGTTTTTCACACTGTATTTGTTATTTTGGCTTTAAGCAGAAAATTACTATACAGGATTTAGAATAATTTGTAACAAGGCATTGGCAATAGCAGTTATACTGTTATTTCCAAAATGTGTGGTCCTTTTGAAAATCTTTAAGTATACTACTTCTTTTCTAAGCAAGAAAGTTATAATTCTTGAATAACTATGCTTATTTGTAATATTTTCACACAGAGTAGAAACTGGAGTGTTACGGCCTAAATATATTCAAATTTTGTGTGCTTTGTCTCTGTTGAGTTCCACCAGAATTTCTTTTTTTCTTTTCATTTACTCCTATATCAGTACTTCAGTTGGCTAAAAATAACACTTTGCTGAAGGCTCATAAACAAGAGTATTTTAAGGCGGACAACAAACTATTTTTAAGGTGCATGTTTTAAATGCCTGACTTTGGATGATGTGCCACCTACTTTAATGCTCAAAAGAAAAAGTGACACAACTGTAGAAATAATTATCAAACTATTTTAAGTATTATACTGGTGGCCAAAAGAGAGAACATTTATTTTTAAGTTAGGATGTTACAAAAAATCATATCCTCTTTTTCCTTGAGTTCAAGTTTCATATGGTGTTTTATAAGCTGTTTTTCTTATGCTTATGGCACAATGCTAACTGTTTTTATTAGGAAATGGCCTCCTGGCTAAGTGCCTACTCATTGTATTACAGCATTTTCCCTCAGCTGTAGCAGAACAACAAACCAACAAGTTCACACTTCCTTATTAATTCTGGAAAACCCTTACCATGCATAACACAGCATGAACCTTTTTATATCTTGACAATTGCTGGAAGTGTTTTATTTTATAACAGAATTTTAAGAATATCCTAATTAAATAGCAAACAGTGGTTACTATGGAAACCATGTTCATAAGTTTTATAATTGTCTTTAAAAATGTTAATTGTCTTCCAAAGCTGTGACTTAGGCTATTAATAACTTGTAAACCTGTTGTTTTTCTCTTCTCAGTGGTTTCTTGCTTTTTGAATACAGCATTATAGTTTGATGAAAGATGATATAAGTGATCATCTTTAAATTATTGATGTTTCCCACAATTTATGGGAACAATTCAAATCTCTTAAGTCGGTTCAATTATGTTTAGCCTAAGGCCATCTCCTTACATATTTTAAGTTCACCCTAAATGTTTCTCTGTACATCCTGAACTATAAACTAAATGGAGTTGTAACCTACTCTTAGGCCAATCACCAAGTTTTGGCCAATCAGATGTGGCCAACTGTTCAAACCCTGTTCAAATAAGGCAAACACCAAGCTGTAACCAACCTAGCTGTTTCTGCACCTCACTTATGTTTTCTGTACATCACTTTGCTTTTTCTGTCCCTACATCCGTGGCTGTGCTGAAGTCATGGAGCCTACTCTGGCTCAGGAGGCTGCTGATTCATGATTCACGAATAGTTCTTTGCTCTATTAAACTCTCTTAAATTTAATTCAACTAAAGTTTTTCTTTTAACAAGTCTTAAAAGTGAAGCTGGGAAGCTTGCACCTATTAGCATCCAAATGGAAACACTTACTTGTGCTTGGGATAGAAACAATGTCAAAATAAGGAAAAGTGTGGATTAATAGAAAATAGATCTTTAGTGTATTCCTACTTTAGTTGCCATCCATTTGCTCCTCCATTTTCTATATTTGTATAGGTTAGAACCTCACACTTTGTATGTTAAATATTTGCAATGCCATGTAAAAGAAAGAACCTGGACATATACTAGTCTGCATTTGATTTCTGACTTCCTGTCTATGTGACTTTATTCAGTTAATTTAATTTTTCTCAACTTCAATTCCATTGAATACAAAATGGGAAATTGATACTTTTTGTATAAATTTGTTATGAATATATTAGAGAAAATGAATTGCACATAAACAAAAGCCTAGTGACAAATAAATGGCACTCATAACAGATCCGCAACTAAACATCAACAACAACAGTAATTATCAATTGTGAGTACTTTCTTTGAGCCGCATCTTTACAAATGCTATCTATTTCAGCTGTCAGGTAAAGATTAGCAAATGCTATTGCCTTGTTTTTGCTGCTGTTTTGTTTTGCCCTTATTGCCCCAAGTTTACACATAATATATTCTCTTAAGTTAAATTTTTAGATTGGGAGAAAAGGTCACTGATATTCTGGAAAGAAAACAAAACAAAACTTAAAAGGACTACACTCATTCCAACCTCCACATCCGCCTGCCAAGAACAACAAACCTCCCTTCCAGCTTCTCCCTCCTGAGCAGCTGACATAGTTTTACCATCAGGCTCTGTAGCCTCCTCATTCCCCAAAAGTTACACATTACTTCTTTGTCTTCACTGTGCCTCCTCTCTGTCCCTTTCAGAGTTCAGGCAGCTACCCCTGCCTGATATGCCTCTCAGTCGATATCAGTTGTTGTAGACATATCTTTATTTGTTTCGGTAAGAAAAGCTTCAGATTGACCACTAACCAAGGATCATGGAGAGATTCACTGGCCCTCTCAGGGCCTGCTGCTGTTAAGTTTTGGGTGAGGTCTGTCCGGTCTGTTTGCCATTTCCATCCACCAACCCCATCTATTCACTGCCGACGTGCATGGGCATGTTGCCATGTCAGAGGTACCACAAGAAATATTTATCTTCTGAGGCTAAAAAAAAGCATAGAATTATTTCCTTTTGAAATTGATGAGCTCCATTCTTGGGTCATCAGTTTTGAACTTGACACAGCAGAGAAACAGAGAACAGTGGCTCCATTTGTCGGCTGCAGCCTTGCTCCTTGACAAACCTGAGGGCAAGTTCCTCAGGCTTGTTGAGAAGGTTTGTGCTCCAATCCCTTCAACCTTGCAAACTAAATGACATATTACACACATTTTAAAAATGAAGAAAAGGAAATAAAGAGTGATAAAGTAACTACCCATGATCATGTTACCGGAAAGGGGTCCAGATCCAGGCCCCAAAAGAGGGTTCTTGGATATCACGCAAGAAAGAATTTGGGGTGAGTCCACAGAGTAAAGTGAAAGTCAGTTTATTAAGAAAGTAAAGGAATAAAAGAATGGCTACTCCATAGGCAGAGCAGCGGCATGGGCTGCTCAACTAAGGATACTTACAGTTATTTCTTGATTATATACCAAACAAGGGCTGGGCTGTTTATGAGTTTTCCTGGACAGGGGTGGGCAATTCCCCGAACTGATGGTTCCCCCCTTTTTAGACCATAGAGGATAACAACCTGATGTTACTATGGCAACAGTAAACTGTCATGGTGCTGGTGGGTGTGTCCTTTAGCATGCTAATGTGTTATAATTAGCATATAATGAGCAGTGAGGACGACCAGAGATCTCTTTCGAGGTCATCTTGGTTTTGATGGGTTGTAGCCAGCTTCTTTACTGCAACCTGTTTTATCAGCAAGGTCTTTTTGACCTGTATCTTGTGCCGACCTCCTGTCTCATCCTGTGACTAAGAATTCCTTAACCTCCTGGGAATGCAACCCAGTAGGTCTCAGCCTTATTTTACCAGCCCCTATTCAAGATGGAGTTGCTCTGGTTCAAACACTTCTGACAATCACACAGCTAATGCGCTGTTCCACTACACCAGTCTGACTCTATGTAAGCACTTAATACATAGTTGTTAAATAACTAGGTGTGCTAGATTTGGAGCAGAGAGCTGAATATGTAAAAATGAATACAGCCTAAGCCCTCAGAGCATAGGGCACATAAGTCTGTGTGAGGGAATAAATAGGGTAAGTTCATAACCAAGCAAGATAGATAGATAATAGATAGAGAGAGAGATAGACAGATTTAATGAATCTATCACTATAAGTGCTTTGAGAGAAGTCTCTACAGTGCACAAGGAGAGTATAAATGAGGGAATGGCATTTCTTTGGAGGTTAAGGTTTAGTTTTCTAAAGGGAAATGATGGCCAATGTCTGCTTTTTGTTTACTTTTTTTGTTTTTTGGGCTTTTTTTTTTTTTTGAGATGGGGTCTCATTTTGTCTCCCAGGCTGGAATGCAATGGTGTGATCATGGGTCACTGCATCCTTGACCTCCCTGACTCAAGCAATCGCCCGTCTGTCTCAGCCTCCCGCGGTGCTGGGACTACAGTCATGAGCCATCATGTCTGGCCTGCCAAGGTCTGTTTTGAGAAGAGTGAATATGGGGATCTTACACTGTGCAATATTTGAAATATCTAGAGGAAACATTATATAATGCAGTAGAAAATGCTTGAAAAAAACGTGAAGTATCTTGACAGCCCACTAAAAACACTGTATGATTTGTTTTGCCCTATATTGCAGTACTTCGGTGGCTTTAGCTGAATACGGTTCATCACAAGCCAACCTGTTAACATGCAGATGTGAACAAATGATCAAATAGAACTGAAGTTTATGGCCATTGCTTAACTCTTAGAGAATAAAAGGCAATAGCATTTCCCGATTATGAAGAATTCTACCTTTGTAAAAAATTAAACAAATGAAATTGTATCACTTATTTTCTAAAGGAATAAATTTAGAAAATATCACCTTTGGTCATAGTTGTCACCAGAACTGAATTTAAAATATTCATTCACTATCATTGCAGCCTGTACAGTCACTACAGTCTATGGTTTAAATATGGCCATTTTAAATTTGGGGGGTTTTGTTTTGATAATCACAAATAACTTTGATAAATGGTCAAATTTCACTTTTTTTATGTTTACCACATTTATTGGGTATTTTCCAATGTACCAATGCTGAGTCTTTTGGAACTGTCATTTGTAGCTGGTGCTTGTTTGACATGTGGAACCCAAAGACAGCAGAACTCTCTGTGGTCCCCATCCTAGTGCCCCCTCCCCACCCCTGCATCATTCCTGTGCCCCTCTAGGGGATGTGGCCAAGACTTTTGGAAGCCAGTGCCTTCCAGCTATAACAGTGTTGATATTCTGATATATTTACCAAGGCTCTAGTTTATACACAATCAGTTCTTCTCAAGTTGCCTCCTGCACTTATCAGTGGGACTGAAACACAACATAAAGACTACTGTCAATATTAAAGTTTTTGGCAAAGAGTGTGCACCTGAATCATCTTCTTTGTGCAGGGAGGTAGGATTAGGCACTGGGTTTGTCACAGAGCAAGCTGTTGTAAAGAAGTGAAGTGGATCCTGGAGATGGTTCTGTTGCAGTGGCAGTACAGTATCTCACCAGGTAGTGGCTGGAGTTGGCTCCAAGTCTCTGGCAGGGGAACACCTTGACACACGTCTGGGGTCGCTGGCACTCCCTTCCTCTCTGACTCCAGCCTTAAGGTGAAGAATTCCATGTAGCTTCTTGTCCTTTCCCCTCAGCTGTCTTTGCTTCACAAGGTTTTAGCCCAAATAAAGAGTACAAATCCCAAAGCCACATAGAAATGAACTTTCTGCTAACTGGAAGCTTTAAGTGAGTAAAGGTACTTTATAATGAAAAATGCATACATTTAGTTTAGGAAAACTGAGATGTTAACATGTACCTGGTGAAATAAGAAGAAATATCATCCTGATAATTCTCAAATTTTCTTCCCCTACAAGCACTGATCTCTAGCAAAGTGGGAAGAATATGTAAACTTCACTGTCATCATATAACATATTTCTGTTTATTAGGTGATTTTGTAGATAGTTTCAGTTTCATATTTAATATTATTTTATTTTCTGTTTATTTTTTAAATTAATTCTTGGCTCAATTTGGATCATGTGCTTTTAGAAAATTATTTTAATTATGATAGGAGACTTAAGTTGGTTATTTAGAGAGGACTCTGTTTGTTTACAGTTTTATGATCCTTCTCAAATGCTTTAAGAAACTGAAAGCCTGT